>NC_000014.9:77642016-77793531 GCF_000001405.40 Homo sapiens
GGGGAGGATGCGCGGGCGAGAGGCTAGCCCAGGAAACTGAAAGATGTGTTTACAGAAAGCGCCGGAAGGAAGTCGGAAGCAAGATAGCGGGGGCTTTGGAGGAATAGCCGGACAATTCTGGGAACCCAGGAGCTGGGGTCTGTCTGGATCCAGCTTTCCCTCCCGTCCTCCCTCTTTCCTCGAGCTCCTGGGTGGTTCAGGCCGCAGCGCTCGGCGCGGGCACCTTCAGCCACTTCTGCGCCTGCGCCGTCTGCTGCAGAACATCCAGTCCTGGCCCCGCTCACCCGAGGCGCTCAACAAACGTTTCCATCATGAATAAGCGAATGAAACTTGGAACTGAAAGGACCCAAGACACAAACAAATGCACTGACGGTCAGGAAGGGGTTGCTCAAGGAGGACAATAACTTTCACACCTATTTCACCTCTGCCCCATGAAATGTTATTGATGGAGGCAGGAAAAACCGTTGAACCCCCGGACTAATTGGCAATTTCCCAAAAGTATTTGTAGGAAGAGTACTTTTTGTTTAAATGGAATGTTAAGGCTGGGAGCGGTGGCTCACGCTTGTAATCGCAGCACTTTGGGAGGCCAAGGCTGGAAGATTGCTGGAGCCCAGAGTTGGAGACCAGCCTGGGCAACAAAGGGAGACCTTATCTCTACAAAAAAAAATTAAAAATTGGCCGTGTGTGATGGTGTGCACCTGTAGTCCCAGCTACTCGGGAGGCTAAGGCAGGAGGATCACTTGAGCCCAGGAACTTGAGGCTGTAGTGAGCTATGATTGTGACACTGCACTCCAGCCTGGGCAACAGAGTGAGACCCTGTCTCAAATAAATAAATAAATAAATAAATAAATAAATAAATAAATAAATGTGTGTGTGTGTGTGTGTGTGTGTGTGTGTGTGTGTGTGTGTGTGTAGGAATGCAATTTTTGGCCAGGTGCAGTGGCTAACACCTGTAATTCCAACGCTTTGGGAGGCCGAGGTGGGCGGATCACCTAAGGTCAGGAGTTTGAGACCAGCCTGGCCAACATGGTGAAACCCCATCTCTACTAAAAATACAAAAATTAGCGGGGCGTGGTGGTGAGTGCCTGTAATCCCAGCTACTCAGGAGGCTGAGGCAGGAGAATCGCTCGAACCCTGGAGGCGGAGGTTGCAGTGAGCCAAGATCACGCCACTGCACTCTGGCCTGGGCAAAAGAGCAAGACTCTGTCTCAAAAAAAAAAAAAAAAAAAAAAAAAGAATAGAATTTTACCTGTAAGTCTAAACAGATAAAAGAGATGAAAAACAATAAAACTACAAAACCAACAGCTTCCCTCTTGTTCCTCCCTTCATCCCATTCTTACTGATGATCTGGTTTTGAAAAACACTCATCTACTGCCACTCCAGAGTTACTGGTAAAGAACTGAGGCCCAGAGAGGCTAAGTAACTTAGTGTCACACAGCAAAGAAGGAAAGAAAGAGGGGAACAAAAAGAAGACAGGAACTTGAGCAAAAGCCAACCGAAAACTATGACCTGCCAGCCAAATCCTGCTTGCTGCCTGTTTTTGTACAGCCTGAGAGCCAAGAATGGTCTTTACACTTTTGAATGGTTAAAGAGAAGTCAAAAGAATAGTAATAGTTCATGAAGTGTGAAAATTATATAAAATTCAAATGTCAGTGTCCAGCAATAAAGTTTCATTGGTACACGACCACATTCATTCATTAATGGCTGTTCCACACTGCAAAGGCAGAGTTGAGTAGTTACAAGAGAAATTATAAGCGGCCTGGAAAACCCAAAATCTTTACTGTCTGGCCCTCTACAGAAAAAGTTTGCTGATTTCTGGTCTGGAGTTCTCAGCAGTTCTTTTGGTTTTAAACGCTGGGGTCTGAGTCGGGTATGTGAGGGGTGAGTGGGGAGAGGAGACAGGACTCCGCAGATACTGGAGTCCTTTGATTAAAGGCCCAAAAACTGGTGGGTGTGGTGGCTCACACTTGTAATCCCAGCGCTTTGGGAGGACGAGGCGGGCGGATCACTTGAGGTCAGGAGTTCAAGACCAGCCTGGCCAAAATGGTGAAACCCCATCTATACTAAAAATACAAAAATTAGCTAGGTGTGGTGGTGCACACTTGTAATCCCAGCTACTTAGGAGGCTGAGGCCGGAGGATCACTTGAACACTGGAGGCAGAGGTTGCAGTGAGCCAAGATCGTGCCACTGCACTCCAACCTGGGCGACAGAGCGAGATTCCGTCTCAAAAACAAAGGCCCAGAAACTAAGGACAAGATCAGGGCCAGCTTTAAGCAGTATAGGAAAAGGGGGGGCCTAATGTAAGGTATTCTGTGGTAATTACAAAATCAAGAACAAGCCAACTTTCTGAGGCTCTCCTATGTTCTAATCACTGTTCTGGGCATGGTAGGGGATTATAAACAAGTTTCTAGGATGCTACACAAGAGCTTACAATGCTGTACAATGCACACACCATAAATTATGAGAACAGTCTGGGAATTACGGTTGACACTGTCAGCTTCTCGCAAGCCCCTGATCTTCCTCCTGTTATATTAGCTAACACTGAACACTTACTCTGTGCCAAGCACTATGCTAAGTATGTTTCAAGCACTATTTCCCCTACGGGCTAGATTTTAGTATTATCCTGATTTTGCAGATGAGGGAACTGAGGCTAGGAAATGGTTGGAGTCAGGATTCAAACTCCAGTCAGCCTACTTTTAGAATGAGTTTCATATGCAGCACACTGTATTACCAGTGACTAGAGCTAGATATATCATAGGACATGTAATGTCTGCAAGAATTATTTAGAGAATCATTCAGGGGTCAACCAGGAAAGGGGAAACCACTTTGAGCACTTGAAACAGAGAATGTTTAATGCAGAGAATTAGTGATAGAAAAGCTGAGAAGGGCCAGGTGCGGTGGCTCATGCCTGTAATCCCAGCACTTTGGGATGCCGAGGCGGAGGATCACTTGAGCCCAGGAGTTCAAGACCAGCCTCGGCAACATAGTGAAACTCCATCTGTACAAAAAATACAAAAATTAGCTGGGCATGGTGATGTGCACTGCGGTTCCAGCTACTCTTGAGGCTGAGGTGGGAGGATCCCTTGAGCCTGAGAGGTCAAGGCTACAGTGAGCCGTGATTGTGCCACTGCACTCCAGCCTGGACAAGAAAGAGAGACTCTGTCTCAAACAAACAAACAAAAAATAAGTTCTCCAGCTCTATAAGTCACACCCATAGCTCAGGCTGTCATTACTCATAGGCTATGTGGATTGTCTACCAAGCACTCACAATGGGTTAAATTACATTTCTAAAATTGGCTGGGTATGGTGGCTCACTCCTGTAATCCCAGCACTTTGGGAGGCCAAGGCGGGCGGATCACCTGGGGTCAGGAGTTTGAGACCAGCCTGGTCAACACGGTGAAACTCCATCTCTACTAAAAATACAAAAATTAGCCAGACGTGGTGGCAGGCACCTGTAATCCCAGCTACTTGGGAGGCTGAGGCAGGAGAATCCCTGGAACCTGGGAGGTGGAGGTTGCAGTGAGCCAAGATCGTGTCATTGCACTCCAGCCTGGGCGACAAGAGCGAGACTCCATCTAAAAAAAAAAAAAAAATTCAAGAAGGCAATGGCAGAGCATTAAATGAAGCGCGCACAGTCCTTCTGAGTGCGGAGCCTGTGTGACTGTATCGGTAACACTCCCGCGAAACTGGCCCTGATAAGAAATTCCTCACATAATTACTTCTGAGAAGTGGCACTGCGGGTTAGGGAAGGGAGAGATAATTTACTTATCACGTATCTCTGGTATGCCTTTTTTGCTATGTACATGTATTACTGCAATAATTTTAAAATATTTCACTCACAGTGGATTTGAGCAGAGATACCCATCTATGTTAAAGAGGTAGAATGGCTTCCAGGTTTGCAGTACTTGACACAGTAGGTGGATCAACGCTATGGACCTACTTCAAGAAAAAAGTTCATTGGAAAGGAGTTGACTGGCAACAAATGCTTAGAAAAGGAGACACCAATAAAGCCAACAGCTTTTTTGATTGACAGCTCTCATCTGAGCTTTGTTTTGGGGGGGATCTGCCCCATAAACACCAGAATTTTGTCCTGAGAATTTAATGATTTTTACAAGCAGAACTTTGTTTTCAAAAATTTACAGAGACTGGCTGGGCGCAGTGGCTCACGCCTGTAATCCCAGTACTTTGGGAGGCTGAGGTGGGCGGATCATCTGAGGTCAGGAGTTCGAGATCAGCCTGGCCAACATGGTGAAACCCCGTCTCTACTAAAAATACAAAAAATAAAATAAAATTAGCTGGATGCAGTGGCACATGCCCGTAGTCCCAGCTACTCGGGAAGGTGAGGCTGGAGAGTCTCTTGAACCCGGGAGGCGGAGGTTGTAGTGAGCTGAGATCGCACCACTGCACTCCAGCCTGGGCGACAGAGCGAGACTCTGTCCCAAAAAAAAAAATTTATAGAGACTGTATATATGTATATGTGTGTATACAGTAGTCCCCCCAATATCTCCCGGGGCTACATTCCAAGACCCCCAGAGGATGCCTCATACTGCTTATGGTACCAAGCTCTATATACGCTATGTTTTTTCCTATACATACATAGCTCTGATAATCTTTAATTTCAAAATTAGATACAGTAAGAGATTAACAATAACTAATAATAAAATAGAACAATTATAACAATATACTATAATGAATGTGATGTGAATGTGGTCTCTCTCCATCTCTCTCTCATCTCTCTGTCAAAATATCTTACTATACTGTACCCTGAGTAACTGAAACCATGGAAAGCAAAACTGTGCAAGGGCGGACTACAATATATGTATGTATGTATATATTATGTATCATATTATATAGAGAATTTTATTAGTATGTAATTATTTTAGAGTTTAAATTTACAACACTTACCTCTCAATCAATGAGAACAATTAGATCATGTTAATGATTAGGGAAAAATGAAACTGGGTTTATTGCAATCTCCTGTCCTGTCAGCTTCAGTATCAGAGTTAATAGTTTTGGTTTGCTTGCATACATCTTGGTCAGGATAGGTTAGGTTATGCCGCTGTAACAATTGGTCCCAACATTTCAGTGCCATGTAACAACAAAGGTTTATTTCTCGCTCATGCCCTGTATCCATCTGGGGCAGCCACAGCTCTGCTACAGGTCGCCCTCCTGCCAGGGCCTGGCTGTCCTTGCTGTGCCAGAGGGAAGAGAGAACCATGTAAAACCACTGCTGGCTCTTAGAGCTCTGGCTCTAACATTAACACACATCGCTCTGCTCACATTTTTTGGCCCAAACAAATCACATGGTCAAAGCCTGATGTCAACAAGCAAGGAAATATGATCCTATTCAAGAAAGGAGACAAGAGGGCTGGGCTGGTAGCTCATGCCTGTAATTCCAGCACTTTGGGAGGCCAAGGCAGGAGGATCACTTGAGGTCAAATGTTCAAGACGAGCCTGGCCAACACAGCAAAACCCCATCCCTACTAAAAATACAAAAATTAGCTGGGCGTGATGGCGCACGCCTGTAGTCCTAACTACTCAGGAGGCTGAGGCAGGAGAATTGCTTGAACTCAGGTGGTGGAGGTGGCAGTGAGCCGAGATTGTGCCACTGCACTACAGCCTGGGCAACACAGCAAAACTTCATATCAAAAAAAAAAAAGAAAGAACGAAAGAAAGGAGTAAAGAATACTCATAAACAACAATAGAGTCCACCACAGCAAAATACCGTAGAAATCTGCAGTAACAGAAAAGTTGTTAGAAATGGTAAAAGCTAACCTTGCAATCTTAAGAAGTCTCTATTTAAATGAATTCCCAAGCTCAAAAGGAAAAGGAGAAAGTTTGTTTCAAAGTTGAATCCCTAAGCCCTGAGATTCTTACTTATCATAAGTTAGACTACAAGCATCTAATCTTAAAATGAGTATTAAAACAACCTGTATTATTTATCACCATGTGATATGATAAGCATTCACTTTTTATTGCACAATTGACTCTTAGTCTGTGATAAGAGTGGGTCCCTAGGAGATACGCCTGAACTTTGATCAGCATTCAAATGAGGGCAGGATGCATGCACTTCATTGTGCACCCACTTGGATAATTTCTTATAAGCCGATGTGCCTAGGCCTGGAATCTTTTTAAAGGAACCAGAGCTACAGTCTTCCTAATCAGTGACACATTTCCAAGGTGTCCAAATACACTCACAGACATGACAGACAAATCCACCCCAAGGTGGTCTCCAAAGTCTAGCTGCACTGGTTATCATGTTGTGGTTCCAAATAAAAAAGTAGAGGCCGGGTGCGGTGGCTCATGCCTGTAATCTCAGCAGTTTGGGAGGCTGAGACAGGCAGATTGCTTGAGCTCAGGAGTTCAAGACCAGCCTGGGCAACATGGTGAGACACCATCTCTACTACAAATACAAAAATTAGCTGGGCGTGGTGGCACGCACCTGTAGTCCCAGCTACTCGGGAGACTGAGGTGGGAGAATTGTTTGAACCTGGGAGGCAGCGGTTGCAGTGAGCTGAGATCATACCACTGCACTCCAGCCTGGGTGACAGAGTGAGGCCATGTCTTGAAAGAGAGAGAGAGAAAGAAAGGAAAGAAAGGAAAGAAGAAAGAAAGAAAAAGAAAGAAAGAAAAGAAAGGAAGGAAGGGAGGAAGGAAGGAAGAAAGGAAGGAAGGAAGGAAGGAAGGAAGGAAGGAAGGAAGGAAGGAAGAAAGAAAAAGGCCTTGGGCTTAGAAATCCAAGAGGTCAGGCCAATAACTGGAAATCCAAGATCCAAGAGGTCAGGCCAATTACTTACATGGGTTAGGAGGATGACAAAGAGCAAGTGACCCTCAGACACACAGTCCACAGGCTATAGGGAAGGGAGGACAGTGATCCAGTGATTAATGAAGCACCTGCCCCACTTCCAAGAGCAGTAACAGCCAAACAAAACACTTTTGTAGGCTGTGTTTGGAGTTATCAGTCTGTAATCTCTGAGATAGTAATGAGGGTAAAATTCTGGAGGAAGGAGGAGAAGTCTCAGATGAAGCAGAGGAAGAGTTCAAAAGGAAGGAATGGGCCAGGTGCAGTGGCTCACACCTATAATACCAGCACACTGGAAGGCCGAGGCAGGAGCATCACAGGAGGCCAGGAGTTCTAGACTAGCCTGGGTGACTTGACGAAATCTTGTCTCTACTAAAAATACAAAAATCAGCCAGGTGTGGTGACACATGCCTGTAGTCCCTTCTACTCAGGAGGCTGAGGTGGGAGGATCGCTTGAGCCGAAGAGTTTGAGGGTGCAGTAAGCTAGGATCACACCACTGTACTCCAGCCTGGGTGACAGAGCTAGACCTTGTCTTTAAAAAAAAAAAAAAAAAAAAGGAATGAGTGGGATGAAGTAGAGAGAAGGTAGAGGAAGGGCTTGTGGACAGCTGCTGGAAGAAGGAGGACTTTGGGGAAAAGATGTTGAAACAAAATGCTTAGGATGTTTTGTGATGTGTAACCTCTTGGCTCTTTCAGAAAACCTTTGGGAAAATAGACTTTTGGCACAGAGGCTTTGGGAGTCAGATTTGCGCTTTGTTTGTGGTACATTGTTGCGTTGAGACTGGCTCCAAAAAGGCTCAATTACGTCTGAGTTGTGTTTAAGAATCTCCACCTAATTTAATGTCCCTTCTTCTGAGTCCAGATTACAATCTGGTTTCCCAGATGGGAAGAGTTACCATAAGTGAGCAATTCAGAGCTTGGGTCTTGGTGGCAGGCAGAACTGAGTTTGAATTCTGGGTCTCAACTTATTTGCCCTAAACATTTCTGAACCCCATCTGCAAAGTGGGGATAAAACAGTACCCACTCAGCCTGGCCAACACAGTGAAACCCTGTCTCTACCAACAAATACAAAAAGTTGCTGGGCATGGTGGCGCACACCTGTAGTCCCAGCTACTTGGGAGGCTGAGGCAGAATTGCTTGAACCTGGGAGACAGAGGTTGCAGGTGAGCCGAGATTGTGCCACTGCACTCCAGGCTGGGTGACAGAGTGAGACCCTATCTCAAAAAAAAAGAGAAAAAGAAAAGAAACAGTACCCACCACATAGTGTTGTAGAGAGATTTAGATGAGAAAATGAAGATAACAGGCTCAGCCCAGTACCTAGCACATAGCATGCACTCAACGAAGAGTAACTCTTATTATTATCATTATATTATATACATTATTATTCTCATTTTTAATTATAAACCTACAGGAGAGAATATGATCAGTAAACAAAAGTAGCCAATCTTTTTTTTCTTTTTTGAGACAAGTTCTCACTCTGTCATCTGGGCTGGAGTGCAGTGGTACAATCATAGCTCTCTGTAGCCCGGAGCCCCTGGGCTCAAGTGATCCTCCCAATCCAGCTTCCCAAGTAGCAGGGACTACAGGCACGCACCACCATGCCCAGCCAATTTTTAAATTTTTTGTAGAGTTGGGGTCTCACTCTGTTGCCCAGGCTGGCCCACCACCGACCTCAAGCGATCCTCCTGCCTTGGCCTCCCAAAATGCTGGGATTCCAGGTGTGAGGCACCATGCCTGGCCCGTTTAAAAGTTGTATCTCCAGGCTGGGCATGGTGTTTCACACCTGTAATCCCAGCACTTGGGAGGCCAAGGCAGGTGGATCACAAGGTCAAGAGATGGAGACCATCCTGGCCAACACAGTGAAACCCTGTCTCTACTAAAAATACAAAAATTAGCTGGGCGTGGTGGCAGGCACCTGTGATCCTAGCTGCTCGGAAGGCTGAGGCAGAAGAATCACTTGAACCTGGGAGGCGGAGGTTGCAGTGAGCTGAGATCGTGCAACTGTACTCCAGGCCTGGTGACAGAGACAGACTCCATCTCAAAAAAAAAAAAAAAAAAAAAAAAAGTTGTATCTCTTATTAGTAAACAATGTAACGGCTCTCCCAGTTTTTAAGCATCAAGCTCTCATGAGTCTAGAAGTGTGTCACAGTAATCATTGCTCTACCCATGTCTGGCATTTTACCCTGTATTGAGTACTTTACCCTTGATGCCGCTGGCACTCTGTGGAGAAGACGCATTATTCTCATAGCCTGTGAGCAGGAACCGCGTATTATCATTGTTTCCTCAGCCAATGCTTGTGGAATGAATAAATGAACGTCTGCTAAAGTGAGTCCCCGCTGCCTCCCAGTACCCTGCCATCCTCTGCTTTGTTCTGAAGGGAAGCCAGCAAATTACCTGAGTATGGTGATATTTTATTATTACAGGGGGAAACGTGATGCCAATGGATCTCTTAGTTTTGGTAAATATGAGTAAATAGAAGTCTTGTTCTGGGAAAATGGTGTAAAAAGACTTTCCCATGAGTTAGAAAAGGCCATTTTATATGTAGAGTTTTTTCGTCTTGTTTTGCTTTTTTGTTTGAGACATAATCTTGCTCTGTTGCCAGGCTGGAGTGCAGTGGCACGATCTCGGCTCACTGCAACCTCCGCCTCCCGGGTTCAAGCGATTCTTGTGCCTCAGCCTCCTGAGTAGCTGGGATTACAGGCGCCCGCCACCACGCCTGGCTAATTTTTGTATTTTTAGTAGAGATGGGGTTTCACCATGTTGGTCAGGCTGGTCTCGAACTCCTGATCTCAGGTGATCCACCCGCCTTGGCCTCCCGAAGTGCTGGGATTACAGGCGTGAGCCACTTCACCCGGCCTATATGTAGAGCTTGTATGACTAGTTGCTCTAAGGACCTTAGGAGTCCTCTGGAAGGAAAGGTTCCAATACTACCTTGTCTGATTCCTCCCCAACTGAAACCAGAGCATTCTGTCGGAATGATTCTGGGTGGCTTTTGACTAAGACCTTGTAGCAGCATTGTGATTTCAACCTAGGGCTGCTGGAATAAAATTACCGTGAGAGAGAGAGAGAGACAGATTTTCATTTATGATTCAAATTAAAGTAAAATGACAAACTAGGCTGGGCACGGTGGCTCACACCTGTAATCGCAGCACACTGGGAGGCTGAGGTAGATGGATCACTTGAGGTCAGGAGTTGGAGACCAGCCTGGCCAACATGGCAAAACCTGTCTCTACCAAAATACAAAAATTAGCCAGGCATGGTGGTGCATGCTTGTAGTCTCAGCTACTCGGGAGGCTGAGGCAGGAGAATTGCGTGAATCCAGGAGGCAGAGGTTGCAGTGACCCGAAATCCTGCAACCACACTCCAGCCTGGGCAACAGTGCAAGACTCTGTCTCCAAAAACAACAACAACAACAAAAAAAAACGTAAAATGACAAACTCATACACACACATGCTAATCTGGAATGCTATAAACCAAACTGAAAACACTGGTTATCTTGTAGTGGGATGGCTGACCACTTTCACTTTCTACTTTAAACATTTGTGGTTTTGTTTGTTTGTTTGTTTGTTTGTTTTTTGAGATGGAGCTTCGCTCTTGTTGCCCAGGCTGGAGTGCAATGGTGTGATCTCGGTTCACTGCAATCTCCGCCTCCTAGGTTCAAGTGATTCTCCTGCCTCAGCCTCCTGAGTAGCTGGGATTACAGGCATGGGCCACCATGCCCTGCTAATTTTACATTTTTAGTAGAGATGGGGTTTCTCCATGTTGGTCAGGCTGGTCTCAAACTCCTGACCTCAGGTGATCCGCCCGCCTTGGCCTCCCAAAGTGCTGGGATTATAGGCATGAGCCACCGCACCTGGCCTGTGTTTCGATTTTTTAAAAAATATGTTGTTTCTTTATCAAGAGAAACTATTTCTTAGCCCACACATTCATGTTTCTAGTTCAAGAACACAAGTCAGTGACAAACTTCTAGGTGATGCAACTCAAATAAATTTTTTATATTCCCAAATCACTTTGCACTCTGAAAGATACCAGCCTTCCTCATTTCCTCAAAAATCTTTCATTGAACTCATAATTACTGTAGAAATCTGTGTATGTCTTTTTTCTTGGTTCAGCCACAGCAAACTTATAGAGAGCTGCGACCCCCGCAGATACAATGAGTTCTCAAACAAGATGAAAGCACAGGTGCTTGGCCAGAAGGCCACGCATCGGGTTTCGTCAAAGCACCGGAAGCCATGGCAGTTACTGTCCTTGATAGGTATGCCAGCCTTAACAACAACGTCCTTCTTGGCTGATGGGAAAATGGACGGCTGTGTTTGAATTTTTTGCAGGAAAACCATACTACTGTCATAATCCAGAAGAACAAAGAGACCTTGTATTTCCACTTTGAAGAAAAGGAAGAAAAGGGCTGGGTGCAGTGGCTCATGCCTGTAATGTCAGCACTTTGAAGGCTGAAGCAGGTGGATCACCTGAGGTCAGGAGTTTGAGACCAGCCTGGCCAACATGGTGAAACCCCATCTCTACCAAAAATACAAAAATTAGCCAGGCGTGGTGGCGGGCGCCTCTAGTCCCAGCTACTCAGGAGGCTGAGGCAGGAGAATTGCCATGCCGAGATCACACCACTGCGTTCCAGCCTAGGCGACAGAGTGAGACTCCATCTCAAAAAAAAAAAAAAAAAAAAAAAGAGGAAACGGATGCAACTTAGCAAATGAGCACTCCAGGTGAGCCAAAAAGGAGTTTATTTAATGCATGTTGCCTAAGTTAAAGTGAGTGAAGACAGAAGACAGGAAAGCGGCAAGAAAGGAAGTAAGGAGAGGGGACGAAGGCAGGCTGCTCCCCCAGTGGCAGGAGGAAGGGCAGCAGGGACGGGGCCCTGGGTCAGGGAGGCAGCCCTCTGGGACACGCTGGAGTCCTGAGGGAGCACCTGGGGATGAGTGCCAACTCCTGGCTGGTTTGGGGCTAATTAGGTTAGAGGTGGGGAATGGAGGATCAGCTGTTTTGATAACTAGCCCCAACTTATACCTTGTCCTTACACTGCAAACTGTGCCCACAGCTTCTGCCTTCATTTGCTAAGTATATCTGACTGGCTCTGTGCAGGGAAACAAGATTTTTGGCTGTAGGTGGGAGATTTAGAATCAGGGTTCAGACACGAAGGGCCTGAGAAAGATGGTAGTAGGCAGAGCTAGCTCTTCCTGCCTGCCATTCAATCCAGGAAATGCGTGGTGGGTCTAGCAGGCTCCAAGCACAGGGCTGTGGTGCTTCATGCTGGGCATTCAGAGGCAGGAGAACAGGCCTCTCTCTGAAGGGGCTCTCAGCGGGCAGGAAGCAAGGGCGCCTGCTGAAGAGCCCTGGCCCAGGGAGCACGTGGGCACCACACAGCTCTTGCTCCCCGGGTCACCTCGGGCCCATGATTTAGCCCCTCTCTTCTCCTTTGCCACATCTGTAAAACGAGGATGACAGCAGCGCCTGGCGTTGAGGGTTACTGTGAGACCACATGAGGTAATCCCTGTGGAGCCTTCAGCTGGCGTTAAGGGCTCAATAGATGTTAGCGATTGTTCTGCACAAAAGTGCTTCAGGAACCAGCAAGGAGCCACTGTTAACTCTCACAGGGGCTGGAGCAAGCCACAAAGAAGCTGTTACGTGAGTCTTTATGGAGGAGTCAAGGTTTGTTTGATTGATGGACAAAGGTGGGTGGTTAATTGTCAGCAAAAGAGAGGCACAAGAATTGCTTGAACCCAGGAGGCGGAGGTTACAGTGAGCCAAGATCGTGCCAGTGCACTCCAGCCTGGGTGACACAGCCAGACTCCGTATCAAAAAAAAAAAAAAAAAAAGGAGGCAGGGAATCTATGGTGTGTTTGGTGTGGCAAACAGTGTGGCAGTGGAGGATGACAGTGTGTGTGTGTGTGTGTGTAGCAGAGCGGGTGGGAGAGGGGTTGCAGAATTCAAACGTGTGTATGTGCACTTTATGTAGCAGAGATGACGTGTATGTGTGTGTGTAACAGGTGGTGGACAGAGGTCTGTGTGTAACAGGTGGTGGAGGGAGGGGTGTGTGTGTGTGTGTGTGTGTGTGTGTGTGTGTGTGCTGGAAGCTGGCTCTGAGCCATCCTGGAGATATAGGCTGGCTTAAACCTGGAAGGGCCTCCTGGCTGGCCCTGGGATAACATAAAGCAGGCTAAGGGACTTAAAGGCATGTGGGAACACAGGGAGCTTGGGAGGTTTTGCTCTTTGCTTTTGAGGTTTCTAAGCCAGGAACAACAGGATCAGATCTGTGTTCTGGAAAGCAGGTTCTGGAAGAGGTGCAGGAGAGTAGCAAAGAGCCTCTGGCTGTTGTCTCCCGACTGGTCACTAGAGGGAGGCCTGGGCTCAGAAGTGACACCACACCCACCTATTGTTGAGGGGCTGGCTGCTAGTCTTGGGCTGTGAAGAGGCATGCAGCCCCTGCATACACTTGCTAGATTACAGGTAAGAGGAGGAAGGAAAGGAACACCCCGATGTACTGTGGAGACCTAGACCTCTGTGCGTCATCTCCTTTCCAGGAGGTGAGGCCTCCTTCTCCTCCTGCCCTGCCTCAGACCCACACCATGAGTGTGGGCACTCCACAGCCCAGCCTGCAGGGCTAAGCTTTGGCCAGTTCCCACCAAGAGCTGCCCTGGGCTTGGGGGTGTGTACACAGGCGGGAGGATGAACTTGAGGATGAGGCTGCAGAGGCTGAGAAGCAGGCTCGGGGCCACTTGGGAAGAGGATGTTGGGGTCCTGGGTCCTCAGAGCGCAAGGAGGCCAAGGTCTCTGGGCAGGCACTTCCCTTGGGCTGATAGGGAGGGCTAGAGCAAAGGAGAGCGTCTCTTAAGGATGTGTTCTCTCACTCAGACCTCGAGCAAAAGAATCTTGTAGTATTTCTGCCTTCACAGGCTACATCCCGCACAAAGCCGAGCAGTTAGCGGGTTTTCAGTAAGAGCTGTTTGAAGGAATGGCTTTTTTTTTTTGGAGACAGAGTTTTGCTGTTGTTTCCCAGGCTGGAGTGCAATGGTGCGATCTTAGCTCACCGCAACCTCCGCCTCCCAGGATCAAGTGATTCTCCTGTCTCAGCCTCCCGAGTAGCTGGGATTACAGGCATGCATCACCATGCCCGGCTAATTTTGTATTTTTAGTAGAGATGGGGTTTCTCCATGTTGGTTAGGCTGGTCTCGAACTCCTGACCTCAGGTGATCTGCTTGCCTCGGCCTCTCAAAGTGCTGGGATTACAGGCATGAGCCACCGCGCCCAGCAGGAATGGCTTCTCTTTCTCCAACTCTGGACCAGCTTCTTGTATGAGAGCCCAGTTACTTTTCCTTTATCGAGGTCTCTGTGGTTTTAAGAAAGATCTGCAAGTTCTTTGCTGCTCTCCTGAAGATGGGGAGCCTAATTCTTCTCCTGGGGTAGACTCAGAGACTGGCTTCTAAAAACATAAAGCAAAAGTGATGGTGTGCAACTGCAGAAACTAGGTCACAAAAGGCACTGGAACTTCCTGTTCTTTCTTACTTGGATCATTGCTCAGGGAAGACCCTTGCCATGTCATGAGGACATGCAGCAGCTCTGTGGAGATGCCCACGTGTGTGGAACTGAGGCCTTCTGCCCTCAGCCAGGTTGGAAGCCGATGCCCCAGCCGCATCAAGCTTCAGACAACTGCGGCCTGGACCAACGTCCTGCCTGTAACCTCCTGAGCCTCCCTGAGCCTCACCAACCACTCAGGCAAGCTGCTCCCAGAGGCACTGTGTGAGAACATAAAGATTCATCGTTTTAAGTAAATGTGGCCATATTTCCAGCAATAAACAACTGATACAGGCTTCAAGAGGACACTCTCTTATTTTTTCCTGGGTTTTGCAGCCAAGAAATAAAACAAAAAGTAAATATGGAAGGTGAAATAGCACTTTCATTAGTGATAAGAGGCCAAATTGCAGGATGTGACTTAAGCCAATTGAGCCTGACAATCCCAAACCCCAGAATTTAGGTGGATACCCACACAGACCCAAGGAACACTGGGTGGAGCAGAGACCTCCCCTTGCAGAGTAGAAGCATGAAGAAGGGGAGAAAACTTCTCAACAGGTGGAATCATGCCCAACAGAGACAAAAGTATGGATCTGAGCCAAAGATACCCAGGTATTCTCAAAATTAACAGTGGGAACAGGCTGGGCATGGTGGCTTACACCTGTAATCCTAGCACTTTGGGAGGGTGATGTGGGCAGATCACTTGAGCCCAGGAGTACGAGACCAACCTGGGCAACATGGTGAAACCCCATCACTACAATAAATAGAAAAATGAGCTGGGTGTGGTGGTGCATGCCTGTGGTCCCAGCTACTCGGGAGGCTGAGGTGGGAGGATTGCTTGAGCCCAGGAGGCGGAGGCTGCAGTGAGCCATGATCATGCCACTGCACTGCAGCCTGGACAACAAAGCAAGAACCTGTCTCAAACAAACAAACAAACAAACAACCTTCCTCCCCTCCCCACCAAAAAACCAGTGGGAACAGTCACTGCTCCTCCCCCACACCCACCAGGAGAGGAGGGAGCAGTGGGGCAGAGAGAGTTCCGGAAGTTCCACTCATTAAGCTTCCTTTGCAGGAAGGAAACATCAGAAATGAGGAAGACGGTTCCCCCGTCATATCCTTTCCTTACATCAGTGGTCCTGTCCTCTGCCCATGACATCTTTCTTCCTTGTGGGGTCAGTGACCAGATGACTTCTGCATCCCTGGTGTTTTTCTGATCGTCTTATTCTTCTGCCTGTCCCTACTGTGTCCTGGGAACTCTCTGTTAACTTGAGGCTTTCCACGGTGCTGCATATAGACAAGGCCCTGACTCAGGACACAGAGAGAATCATGATGCTTCCAACGAACTTGCTATTTTGAGAATAAGGTTTCATTTTCTTTTTTCCTGGCCGTCTTTGTCCAAGCCTTTTTTTTTTTTTTTTTTTTTTTTGAGATGGAGTTTCACTCTTGTTGCCCAGGCTGGAGTGCAATGGTGCGATCTCGGCTCACCACAACCTCCGCCTCCCAGGTTCAAGCGATTCTCCTGCCTCAGCCTCCCCAGTAGCTGGGATTATAGGCATGTGCCACCATGCCTGGCTAATTTTGTATTTTTAGTAGAGACAGGGTTTCTCCATGTTGGTCAGGCTGGTCTCGAACTGCCGACCTCGGGTGATCCGCCCGCCTTGGCCTCCCAAAGTGGTGGGATTACAGGCGTGAGCCACCGCGCCCGGCCTTGTCCAAGCCTTTGAGGCTATTGTTTTGTTAAATCATCCATGCGGATGGAACAAACCAACTTTGCAAGAATGTTGTATGAGTGTGAAATCTTCACTTAAAAAAACAAAACAAAACAAAACAAATACTTTCTAAGGGAGGATCCTTTTGTTTTATGGGTGGGAATGTGGTTCTGGAATTTACTTAATGTCCAGCAAGAAGAGGCAGTGAGCCAGCAGAAAATGAAAAACCTGCCATCCATTTTGATAGCTTGGTGATAATATATACATCTTCTGCATATGTATAGCTATTTCAAAGGCTGATTACATTTATTTCCTGTAAAATGGGAATCCAGTGAAATAGCTATACTTTCTTCTGCTGCTCTTTAAAATTCATGCTTCTCACCCACTGAATCACTAGTCAATGTCGTTGCATCTCCACCCTTGGATATTCCAATCCTCTCTTCTTCACAGTTGATTTGAAAAACAAAAAGCTTGCTATGAGTTAGTATTCAAGGCTGGTAGCCTTTAGGTCATCTTTGATATTTCTATCTAAATTATGTGTCTACAAAATCCTCATCATTCTTGCTTTTCTCTCTTAGATTCACTCTTCCACTTATTTTTTTCTTCAAATTTACACAAGGAAAACCTGAACGCAAAGTACAGAATTGCATAGAGTAAAAAGTGAGAGGTGCCCATGACAGTTGTTTGTTTCATGGCTACAGATTCTCCCTATCCCAATCCATAGGCCCTTTGGCAACGTAGCTGTGCCATGCATGTCACCAAGAGTTTCAGTCTGTTTCCTCATCCCTTGAAACCGGGCTAACTTCTGACTTGCCTTGAACAGCAGAGCATGACAGACATGATATTGTTGAGTTCTAGAGCCTCGGCCTTCAGGACTCCTGCTGCTTCTGCTTTGGTGGTCTTGGACTGCTGTCCTGGGACACCACAGAAGCCACTCTAGCCTCCTGGGTGATGAGAGGCCATGTGGGCACCTGGGGAAGCCCAGCTGGCAGCCAGCACTAGGTGAATGCAGCTGCATCAGTGAGTTCAGGGGAACCTAGTCGAGGAGCTACCAAGCCAACCCACAGAATCAGGAAAAATAACAAGTTATTGTTCTAAGACTCTAAGTTTGTCATGCAGCAAAGGACAACTGAAACTGTCACCATCACCTCTCTGTTGATCCCACTCTTCTTAGACCTTTTTCTTTTTTTAAATTTAATTAATTTTTTGGGGGGATAGGGTCTTTCTCTGTTGCCCAGGCTGGAGAGCAGTGGCACGATCATAGTTCACTGCAGACTCGACCTCCCAGGCTCAAGCAATCCTCCCACCTCAGCCTCCCAAGTAGCTGGGACTACAGGTGTATGCCACCATGCCTGGCTAATTTGTTATTATTATTATAATATTTTGTAGAGACAGGGTCTTGCTATGTTGCCCAGGCTGGTCTCAAACTCCTGGGCTCAAGCGATCCTCCCACCTGGGCCTCCCAAAGTGTTGGGATTACAGGTGTGAGCCACTGTGTCCAGCCTTCTCAGACCTTTTTCTTCACATTATCAATATCCATGTGTATATACTAAAGTTAAAAAAATCTTAGGAGGCTGAGGCAGGCGGATTGCCTGAGCTCAGGAGTTCACGACCAGCCTGGGCAACATGGTGAAACCGTCTCTAGTAAAATACAAAAAATTAGCTGGGCGTGGCGGCGTGTGCCTGTAGTCCCAGCTACTTGGGAGGCTGAGGCAGGAGAATTGCTTGAACCCGGGAGTGGAGGTTGCAGTGAGCCGAGACTGCACCTCTGCACTCCAGCCTGGGCAACACAGCAAGACTCCATCTCAGGAAAAAAAAAAAATCGGTGGGATCACACTTTACATACTGACATATTTTCACATGATACACATGGATTGCATAATTCTTTTAAACCCCATAGAGTCCATCATTATACAGATGAGCCACAGTGTATTTAGCTAGTTCCTGTTAACGGACATTTAGGCAATTTCTATTTTTTCACTACTATAAACAGTGTTGCAATAAATGATCTTGTGCTTTCAAGTTTCTCTTCTCTGATCCATCCTGTTTACCACTGCCTGGGTTAAGGGAGGGGCAGAAACAGAATATCAGTAGGCACTTGGGGGCTTCTGGATAATTACTGCAGGGATTTGGTCCTTGTACCTGACCCCTAGAGGCTAACCTCTGCTCTCAAGAAAACAGAGATTTGTGCACCGCTGGCCACCACTGCTCCTCTCCCTCATTACCATCCTCTTGGGCATGATTAAAGGATTGGAGATGACACACAAAGATTTGTAAAGGAAGACGGAGCTACAGTTGCATATTAGGGATGCTGAAGAAGCACAGGGACCCCAGCAGCCTTCGTGGTGTGGGCCTATTTAAGAGGGTCTGCACTCACAGAGCACTCAAAATTCCCTGGAGTGGCCAGGCGTGGTGGCTCACACCTGTAATCCCAGCACTTTGGAAGGCTGAGGTGGGTGGATTGCCTGAGGTCAGGAGTTCAAGACTAGCCTGGCCAACATGGTGAAACTCCGTTTCTACTAAAAAATACAAAAAAATTAGCCAGGCGTGGTTGCAGGTGCCTGTAATCCCAGCTACTTGGGAGGCTGAGGCAGGAGAATCGCTTGAACCCAGGAGGCGGAGGTTGTGGTGAGCCGAGATCGCACCATTGCACTCCAGCCTGGGCAACAAGAGTGAAACTCCGTCTCAAAAACAAAACGAAACAAAACAAAATTCCCTGGAGTGTTCTGTGCTGTCTGGAGGTGTTTTTGGAATCTACCTAATTGGCCGAGGTGTTGTAGGAAAGGATATGGGGGAGTGTGGGTGTCTATGATGAGAGGAGGGTGCAGGGAATGGGCTTTGCATCTTGCAGAGGGATTTCTGCCAGAGGTGAGTGTGGGCACGTCACGGGGGCTGCTGACGGGGTGCTGTATGTGCCTGAGTGTGGATGTGACCAAACTTGGGGATATGTTGCTGTTAAATGAAGCGAGGCATTACCATGGCAACATAGCTCTCTGCTCCCAGCCAGATGCCAAGCCCTTAAATTATATTTTTCCGGCTGAAAGCACCTCAATTGCCTCTGGTCTCCAAAGCAATGGGACCGTGGGAGCACCAGATGCCTCACCGTTGTCTCCAACCTTTCGACAAAGCCCAAGAGGCGATAAGCAGGGGAGATGGCACAGGGGGCACGGGTGAATTTTGTTTGTTGGGGGGGGGTGCCTGGGAGTAGTGTCTGGTGAAGGGGGCTGGAGAGAGCCACCGACACACTCTACTTTTATCATCTCCTGGTCCAGTCACCTAGCACTTCATTCCAGAAGTAAAATGTGTATAATAACACCATTAGAGTTGCCAGTAATTTCTTCCACTAGATGAAGGGGTGGGTTGCCCCTCCACACCTGTGGGTGTTTCTCGTTAGGTGGAACGAAAGACTTGGAAAAGAAAGAGACACAGAGACGAAGTATAGAGAAAGAAAAAAGGGGGCCCAGGGGACCGGCGTTCAGCATAGGGAGGATCCCGCCAGCCTCTGAGTTCCCTTAGTATTTATTGATCATTCTTGGGTGTTTCTCGGAGAGGGGGAGGTGACAGGGTCATAGGATAATAGTGGAGAGAAGGTCAGCAGATAAACACGTGAACAAGGTCTCTGCATCATAGACAAGGTAAAGAATTAAGTGCTGTGCTTTAGGTATGCATACACATAAACATCTCAATGCCTTACAGAGCAGTATTGTTGCCCGCATGTCCCACCTCCAGCCCTAAGGCGGTTTTTCCTCTATCTCAGTAGATGGAACATACAATCGGGTTTTATACCGAGACATTCCATTGCCCAGGGACGAGCAGGAGACAGATGCCTTCCTCTTGTCTCAACTGCAAAGTGGCATTCCTTCCTCTTATACTAATCCTCCTCAGCACAGACCCTTTACGGGTGTCGGGCTGGGGGACGGTCAGGTCTTTCCCTTCCCACGAGGCCATATTTCAGACTATCACATGGGGAGAAACCTTGGACAATACCTGGCTTTCCTAGGCAGAGGTCCCTGCGGCCTTCCGCAGTGTTTGTGTCCCTGGGTACTTGAGATTAGGGATTGGTGATGACTCTTAAGGAGCATGCTGCCTTCAAGCATCTGTTTAACAAAGCACATCTTGCACAGCCCTTAATCCATTTAACCCTGAGTTGACACAGCACATGTTTCAGAGAGCACGGGGTTGGGGGTAAGGTCATAGATTAACAGAGTCTCAAGGCAGAAGAATTTGTCTTAGTACAGAACAAAATGGAGTCTCCTACGTCTACTTCTTTCTACACAGACACAGTAACAATCTGATCTCTCTTTCTTTTCCCCACACTAATTACTTCCTTTCCATCCATCCATTGTTCTTTGTTTGGTTTTGAAGAGTTAAGTCCTCTGTATCATCAGGGCCACAGGTAACTGATCTGGGGTAGACAACTAATCCAAAAAATGCCAAGCTGATTTTCTTTGAGCAATCGGGATTTAGGGCATCTATATGCAAGCAACCTGGAAAACTGGGGACTGAAGGTGCCATTTAGGGGCATCACTGTGCAAGTAAAATTAACAAAGAGGGTTGCAATAAGAAGGAAGCAGACAGGCAGAAAAAAACCAAGAGGGAGGGAGAGTGGGGGAGAGTGGAATATGGCAGCTGCTGTGAGTCCTGATGTTTTTACCAATTCTAGTTCCCAGTGAGGCTTGGCTGCACTTCCTACCCTTGGTTGTTTTTTGTAATTTAGTGGGTTTGTGTCTTGTAGTGGAATGATCCCTGATTAAGGCATTAGAGTATTTGGGTTAGGTTTGGCTTGTGATGCTAGCAGTGCCTTTTGGAGCCACATCCCCACTCAGGATAAACAGTGAATTCCTAGAAAAAAGACTGCTTGCATATGTGTAAATGCTTAAAAAGATGCTGTCCCCCTTCTCCAGCCAACTATTTGCAAAGGACTTCTGTGATATACAACAACACATTAACAGTATGATAAAATGTTCTTCATTCAACAATATTTAATTGAGCAGCTACTATGTACCAAGAACAATTCTAGGTGTCAGGGAAATAGCCCAGAACAAGACAGAAAAAAAAAAGAAAAAAGCCTGCTTTTCTTTGGAGGACACAAATAATAAAGAGTAAAAAAAGATATAATAGCAGATAGTGCTAAGGGCTATGAACAAAATAAATGATTTTTATCATGTGAGTCATACAGAATCATAAACTATTAAGGCTAAAAAGGTCTTCAAGATTTTCCAGATGCTCTTATTCCCACAAGACCAATGAAACAATAGAGGAGATAATAAACGGCCTTAAGCCAAATAGGAGGGTAGTGAAGCTAAGTCTAGCTCCTTCTTCGTCCGCTTTTATGTCACTTCCTACAGGAAGCCTGTCATTGCCATTTCTAGGTTAAATGCCCCTCCCACTACACCTTGTACTTGGCCCATGGGAGCATACTTTTATGGCAACCCTACTTACGTAGGTGTTTTTCCCACTCATGGAAGGACCCGAGGGCAGAAACAATGCCTGTTACATTCACCTAACACAGTGACTCACTTCACAGATGCTCAGTAGTTGCTGGATGAATAACAAGGGCTTGACACCTAACTGACAGCAGCAATACTGATGTTTATTTCACTCCCTTAGGCAATTCTTACACTACGTGACCTTCCAAAGGCAAAAAGAGTTGGTTAATAACACAGACATAGCATCACTGTCTTCAAAGACAGAGAAAAATCTTCCATAGCCAGAAACACGGTTTGTTCACGCTTTTCCTGTTGTTGAGCTTGGTGCCCTTCTGCTGAGCCCCTGTTAAAAATGAAGATATAAAGCCTGTAGGTCCAGTATCCAGTGGCTCTCAGGAAGTGCTTGATTATTGTGGATGAGAGCGGACGGAAGCAAACAGCCACTGGTGGCCACACTTGTAGGCCTACGCTCACTTTGGGGGATAGGACAATTAATACCTAACAAGAAAAGGGAATACACAGTGTACATGTGCACAAATACCTCTCAGTGTGCCAAAAACGGCAGATTCCACCACTCCTCCCTTGTGCCATTGCCACAGAGAAAACAGAAATAATACACCATGGGGCCCTGTGGATATCAATGCTATCTGCTAGCTACGTCCCTAGGAGAATACAGTAATCTTTTTCAGAGGACTATAGCCCTCACAAGTGGCTCAACCTTAAGGTTGACTGTCTATTGCCTTAGCATCCAAAGCCTCCTATTTTTATTGGGGTTCCTGAGCACAGCAATGTACATGAATTTAGGATATAGAAAAACAAGGGGCTGCTTCTCTTGCCTGAATAGGTACAATCGAACATTCTCTGGCCAGCCCATGGTGAATCCAACTCAGAGACCAGAACTAGTGTTTATGACGGCCGCCAAAATCAGCTGCTTTTCCCGTGATTTAACACACTACCAGATCTTATTTATAACAACACAAAAACTTTCAGAGAATTTGGAGAAAGATACATTTCCTCAAATTTTTATTACTGCATATGATTCTTTAAAGTTTGCTATATATAACTTAAATAATTTAAAAATATATAAGTGGCCGGGCGCCGTGGCTCATACCTGTAATCCCAGCACTTTGGGAGGCTGAGGCGGGCGGATCACTTGAGGTCGGGAGTTCGAGAGCAGCCTGGCCAAAATGGTGAAACCCTGTCTCTACTAAAAATACAAAAAAATTAGCTGGGTGTGGTGGTGGGCGCCTGTAATCCCAGCCACTCGGGAGGCTGAGGCTGGAGAATCCCTTGAAACCAGGAGGCGGAGAGTGCAGTGAGTGGAGATCGCGCCGTTGCACTGCAGCCCGGGCGACAAGAGCAAAACTCCTTCATAAATAAATAAATAAATAAATAAATAAATAAATAAATAAAATATATAAGTAACATGTGAATAATTCTTATAAAAAAATAAACACCAGGCTGGGCATGGTGGCTCATGCTTTTAATCATAGCACTTTGGGAAGCTGAGACAGGAGGATCGCTTGAGCCCAGGAGTTCGAGACCAGCCTGGGCGATGAAGTGAAACCCCGTCTCTACTAAAAACACAAAAATTAGTTGGGCATGGTGGTGTGTGCCTGTAATCCCAGCTACTCAGGAGGCTGAGGCAAGAGAATCAGTTGAACCCAGGAGGCAGAGGTTGCAGTGAGCCGAGATCATACCACTGCATTCCAGCCTGTGCAAAAGAGTGAGACCCTGTCTCATAAATAAATAAATAAATAAATAAATGTAAATTTTAAAAAATTTTTAAAAAATCTAAGGCCAAAAATCACATAGTAGAAAGTACCTTCTACAATCTTCTAATCTCTCTCCTCCCCACCCTTATCCTTGGACATATCCTTTCCCCCCATGCATTTACAAACATATGTGCATATATAGATAAGACTTGTTTAGGCCAGGCACGGTGGCTCACGCCCGTAATCCCAGCACTTTGGGAGGCCGAAGCAGGTGGATCACTTGAGGTCAGGAGATGGAGACCAATCTGGCCAACATGGTGAAACTCTGTCTCTACTAAAAATACAAAAATTAGCTGGGTATGGTGGCCGGCGCCTGTAATCCCAGCTACTTGGGAGGCTGAGGCAGGAGAATCGCTTGAACCTGGGAGACAGAGGTTGCAGTGAGCCGAGACTGCGCCATTGCACTCCAACCTGGGTGATATGCGTGAAACTCCATCTCAAAAAAAAAGAAAGACTTGTTTAGTTTTTACATATTAGTTTATATATATATATATATACATATATAATAGTTTTACATGTTTTTACACTGTATTTATTATTTTGCAACTTGTTTTTACTAACCAAAATATCCTGGAGCCCTGTTGATGTCAGTACATTCTTGTGAAGGAATACATATTCATAATATTCCATAGTGCATATTAACCATAATTTAATCTTTTTAGTACTGATTAACATTTGGGTTGTTTCCAGTTTTTCACTGTTATGAACAACACTGTGATGAATATCTTTTTACACATATTGTGTCCATCTATTTCTATAGGGAAGATACTAAGGAAGTAGAATTGCTAGGTCAAAATTTATGTGAACACTGATAATTAGCCTCCAAAGAGCTTTACCAATTTACATTCCCACGGTAGTACATGAGTGCCCATTTCCACACGTCCACACCTACAGTGAATATCCATTCATTCAACATATACTGAGTAACTACTATGTGCCAGGAACTGTACTAGACACCAGGGCACGTCTCTGCCATGCGGCACTTACAGCCTAGTGGAGGGGACAATAATTATTTATCATTATTTCCTTAAAAGGGTTATTTCCTTATTTAGTAAATTATGTAGAATGTTATATCAGAAATGCTATGAAAAAAACAGAGTATTTACCATACTGTGTAAAGAAAACTAGGAATGGCAGCAGAATTGAAACTTTCAATGAGGGTAGTCAAGGAAGATCTCACCAAAGTGATATTTGAGCAAAGACTGGAAGGCAGTGAGGGTGCAGATCTCTGGGAGAAGAGCATTCCAGGCAAAGGAAACAGTTCAGTGTGAAAGTCTCAAGGCAGGGATGTGCTTTGCATCTTCAGAAGTAAAACAAGGAGACCAGTGTGGCTGAGACAGAGTGGGTGAGAGGACCAAGAGGAAATGAGGGACCAGATGGGTTGGGGTTTGTAGCCAATTGACAGGACTTTGGCTTGTACTCAGAGTGAGGAGCAACATAAGAGTTTTGAGCACAAGAGTGACATGACCTGTCTCAGGTGTTAATAGCCTCACTCTGGCTGCTATCTTGAGGATAAAATATGGGGGAAGAGAAGGGGGCAAAGCACGGAAGGAGGAGCTATTAGGACACTATTGTAATAACCCAGTTGAGAGATGATAGTGGCTTGGGCCAGGACAGTAACAGTGAGGTAAACACAAGTGGTTAGACTCTGGATACTTGAAAGGTAGAGCCAACATTTCCTGTGGTATTAGAAGTAGGATTGAGTGGGCCGGGCACAATGGCTCACACCTGTAATCCCAGCACTTTGGGAGGCCAAGGTGGGTGGATCACTTGAGGTCAGGAGTTCAAGACCAGCCTGGCCATCATGGTGAAACTCCATCTGTACTAAAAATACAAAAATTAGCTGGGTGTGGTGGCACACGCCTGTAATCCCAGCTATTTGAGGTGGAGGCAGGAGAATCGCTTGAACCCAAAAGGCGGAGGATGCCGTGAGCAGAGATAGTGCCACTGCACTCGAGTCTGGGTGACAGAACGGGAGTCAAAAAAAAAAAAAAAAAGTAGAATAATGTGAGTGAAAGACAGTCAAGAGATAATGTAATTAATTTTGCCAAATAAATGGGTACAAATACACATCTATTGCTTTAATTTGCATTTCTATCTGCTAGTGAGGTTAGCATCTTTTTAGATGTTTATTGGCTATTTGTATTGTTTTCTTCAGAGAAGTTTCAGTTTTGCTTTGTTCTCCTTTAGTTTTACTTGGTTAACACTTCATTTCCTTACCAAAAATCTTGCTGCTCATGGGGTAACTTTTGTTTGCTGTTTATCCAACCTCTGTAAGATTAACTTCTCATTTTAGAAATATAGTATTGCAGAAGTGGTAGGCAACACAAGAATTACTTGGCAAGCTCCTTATAGATGAGATAACTGGGGCCCAAAAAGGTTCACTGAGGCTCAGCTGAAGATTTAGTCAAGGTCACACAGCTAAGTGTTGGAATTTTTACTAGAATTAGCTTTTCTGGTAACCACTCAATGTTATTTTCCATCTACTGTACCATCTTATCTTAATAAGAAGTTTGTCTTTTTTTTTTTTTTAAGACAGAGTTTCGCTCTTGTTGCCCAGGCTGGAGTGCAGTGGCCCGATCTCGGCTCACTGCAATCTCTGCCTCCCGGGTTCAAGCGATTCTCCTGCCTCAGCCTCCCGAGTAGCTGGGATTACAGGCGTGTGCCACCATGCCTGGCTAATTTTTGTATTTTCAGTGTAGACGGGGTTTCACCATCTTGGCCACACTGGTCTTGAACTCCTGACCTCGTGATCCACCTGCTTTGAACTTCCAAGGTGCTGAGATTACAGGCATGAGCCACTGTGCCTGGCCAGAAGTCTGTCTTACCAATAAAATTAGAGCCAACAAACCTATCTCCAGGAGGGCTCGAATTTGTATAGGTAGCTGATCAAAATCAGTAGAAATTTACCATTCAGCCTAAGGCATTAGATTTGCATTGCTTCTACTGTGACCTTGGAAACAGAAAACAGGTGAGGTGTCTTTCTTTCTAGGTCCTCCTGTCAATCACGTTGAGATCAAGTCACCCCAAGGGCTCCCTTCTGCCTCATTACCATTCTAATTTGCCTTATTGGATCCACCTAGGGTAGGGTCTTTTTTTTTTTTTTTTTACTCTAATAAACCAATATTTTAGATTAAGGGAAAAGAGAAATGGGGTAAGACCAGCTTATCTTAGTGACCAAAGAACTGAAAAAATGAGAACACTGGAAAGCCAAGTCTCACTGAGTCTGTCCTGTTCAGCAGGACATCTATGTCTGAGGCCTTGGCACCCTTCCAGGAAAAACCAGACATGGGGTGCAAAAAAAGAGCAACAGGCAAGAGGCTCTACCAAAATAATAAGCAGAGAGTAGTGAGTGGATCCACCTTAGCCAGACATATTTTAAAATAAGAGGAAGTGCAGAGAAAATTCCTCTTCCAGCCTGGCCAACGTGGTGAAACCCCATCTCTACTAGAAAACAAAATAATTAGCCAGGCATCATGGCACGTGCCTGTAGTCCCAGCTACTCAGGAGGCTGAGGCAGGAGAATCACTTGAACCCGGGAAGCGGAGGTTGCAGTGAGCCGAGATTGCGCCACTGCACTCCAGCCTGGAGTGCACTCCGTCTCAAAAAAAAAAAAGTTTTTTTTTTTTTTTTGGCTGGGCGCAGTGGCTCACGCCTGTAATCCCAGCACTTTGAGAGGCCGAGGTGGGTGGATCACAAGGTCAGGAGTTCAAGACCAGCCTGCCCAACATGGTGAAACCCTGTCTCTACTAAAAATACAAAAATTAGCCAGGTGTGCTGGCGGGCGCCTGTAGTCCCAGCTACTAGGGAGACTGAGGCAGAAGAATTGCTTGAACCCGGGAGGCAGAGGATGCAGTGTGCAGAGATTGTGCTATTGCACTCCAGCCTGGGCGACAAGAGCAAAACTCTGCCTCAAAAAAAAAAAAGTTTTTTTTTTGAGACGTAGCCTCGCTCTGTCACCCAAGCTGGAGTGGACTGCAGGGGCGTGATCTCTGCTCACTGCAACCTCCACCTCCCAGGTTCAAGTGATTCTCCTGCCTCAGCCTCCCGAGTAGCTGGGACTACAGGCACGTGCCATGATGACTGGCTAATTATTTTGTATTCTAGTAGAGGTGGGGTTTCACCATGTTGGCCAGGCTGGTCTTGAACTCCTGAGCTCAGGCAATCTGCCCACCTCGGCCTCCCAAAGTGCTAGGATTACAGGCATGAGCCACTGTGCCCGGTCTTAAAAAAATGTTTTAAAAAGATTTTTAATGTCAAAAATATCAGACAAGCCAGGCACGGTGGCTCATGCCTGTAATCCCAGAGCTTTGGGAGGCTCAGGCAGGTGGATCACTTGAGCTCAGGAGTTCAAGACCAGCCTGGGAAACATGGTGAAATCCTGTCATTACAAAAATATTAGAAAAGTTAGCCAGGCATGGTGGTGCCTGTAGTCCCAGGTACTTGGGAGGCTGAGGTGGGAAGGTTGTTTGAGCCCAGGAGATTGAGGCTGCAGTGAGCTATGATTGCACCACTGCACTCCAGCCTGGGCAACAGAGCCAGACCCTGTCTCAAAAAAACAAAACAAACAAAAAAATCAAATAACTCTGGTGCCCAGTAGATGGGGCAGGGGGAGAGGGGGGTGCGCAGAAAGAGAAAAAAAAATTAAAAATCAGAAATACAGAAAAGCACAAATAAGTATCAACTGTAATTCCACCATCATTCATGTTTTGGTATTCACATCATTCCAGTTTAAAAAAATATGTAAACATTTCATCTCTGAGAGGTCTGAACAAAAAAACATAAAATAAAAATGTCAACATTCTATACAAAATTAGGTTACTATGGACAGTTTCATAATTGGATTTCTCACCTAAATATAGTATAAACATTTCCCCTTATCTCTAACTATTCTTGTAAAACATGGCCTTTAAAGGCTACATAGGGTTATGGCATATCCAGTATACAAGCTCCACAAAGGAAAGTACTTGTGCAGCCAAAGAACAGTGCTCAGTAGTCACGTGCTGAAAAGTACATGAATTTAACTCCCTGTTGCTGGATTTTGAGTATATTTCATATTTTCTCTACTATGAATATTCTCACACAAAAATCTTTCTGCACAGCTCTGATTACTTTCCACAGACTCAATTCCTAGAAGTGAAATTTACTGGGACAAAGGGTATACATTTGAAAACATTATTAGGATGACCACATAAATTATCATTGAATGAAAGACCACTTCTCGGTGGAAAAGGAGATCCAGGACTACCCTGGTCAAAGTAGGATAAAAAGTCACACATTACATGATGCCAAATTGTGCCTTAGGGGCTATAGCAATTTACATCCCTACTAACAGATTATTAGAAAACCAATTTCTCAGGGCCTAACGTCTGTGACTTTACTTTTTGTTTTTTTTTTTTTTTTGAGACGGAGTTTTGCTCTTGTTGCCCAGGCTGGAATGCAATGGCACGACTTGGCTCACTGCAACCTCCGCCTCTCAGGTTCAAATGATTCCCCTGCCTCAGCCTCCCAAGTAGCAGGGACTACAGGCGCCCGCCACCACGCCCAGCTAAATATTATGTATTTTTTTTTTTTTGAGATGAAGTCTTGCTGTTGTCACCCAGGCTGGAGTGCAATGGCACGATCTCAGTTCACTGCAACCTCTGCCTCCCAGGTTCAAGCGATTCTATTGCGCCAGCCTCCTGAGTAACTGGGATTGCAGGCGCCTGCCACCATGCCTGGCTAATTTTTGTATTTTTAGTAGAGATGGGGTTTTACCATGTTGGCCAGGCTGGTCTCAAACTCCTGACCTCAAGTGATCCACCCACTTCGGCCTCCCAAAGTGCTGGGATTACAGGTGTGAGCCACCCCACGCCCGGCCAATTTTGTATTTTTAGTAGAGACTGGGTTTCACCATGTTGGTCAGGCCGGACTCGAACTCCTGACCTCAGGTGATCCACCTGCCTTGGCCTCCTAAAGTGCTGGGATTACAGGCATGAGCCACAGCGCCCAGCCCTGTTTTTAGAGGCAGGTTTTTGCTGTTGCCCAGGCTGGAGTGCAGTAGCACAATCGTAACTCACTGTAACCTTGAACTTCTGGGCTCAAGTGATCCTCCCGTTTTAGCCTGCCAAAGTGCTGGGATTACAAACATGAGCCACTGTGCCTGGCCTACTCTTTTTTTTTTTTTTTTTTTTTGAGACGGAGTCTCGCTCTGTCGCCCAGGCTGGAGTGCAGTGGCGCGATCTCGGCTCACTGCAAGCTCTGCCTCCGGGTTCACGCCATTCTCCTGCCTCAGCCTCCTGAGTAGCTGGGACTACAGGCACCTGCCACCACGCCCGACTGAGTTACATTATATACATCTTCAATTATATGTGCTTCATAAAAATATATAAATAAAAGTAGAGAGCGAGCCAGAGAAAGTGGGGAGGGCTAGAGGGAGGAGATGGGGTCGGGGAGAGAGAGAGCGTGAATATTTAATTGTACGAATGATCTGTTCACCATCCCAGGAGACAGGAATGTGCTATTCTCTTGGCTGGCCTGTTTCTACCTGCTTCTCATAGCATAAACATCTCACTTCATGGAGTGAGTCTACAATTTAGTTATGTGTTTTTTGTACAACATGGTTCCCATACACAAACCAATGCCTTTATCTGACACACAAGTGAAGAAAGAATAATCTGTCTTAATGCTAGACTGTCTCTGTTGGATTTACTAAATGACAGTACGTTGGTTTCTGTAGGTCACATTTAACATACATTGTAGAAAATTTAAGGTTAACAGTGGTAATCTTATCCAGTGGTATTATTTAATTATATAAAGATTTCCTATGTATTAATTTTAGGACCTAAGCTGGGTGCAGTGGCTCATGCCTGTAATCCCAGCACTTTGGGAGGCCAAGGCGGGCCGATCACCTGAGATCAGGAGTTCAAGACCAGCCTGACCAACATGGAGAAACCCCATCTCTACTAAAAATACAAAATTAGCCAGGCATGGTGGCGCATGCCTGTAATGCCAGCTACTCAGGAGGCTGAGGCAGGAGAATCGCTTGAACCCGGGAGGTGGAGGTTGCAGTGAGCTGAGCTTGTGCCATTGCACTCCAGCCTGGGCAACAAGTGTGAAACTCTGACTCAAAAAAAACAAAAAACAAAAAACAAAGAACCTAGCTTACACATAAGAGATAAATCCATAATTTTTATTCATTTAAAAACCCTGCTATTACCATATGAACTCAATATTCAATGCCAGTAATTTAAAAAAGGGGCAGAGCAGGACAGAGGAGACATGTAAACTTAATAACATGCATTGCAAACAGTAGGTACCAAATGGGCTTCCAGCCAGTCCTCCACACAAGGAAGTTAGGATGTTTCAAAGAGCCCTTATAATAAAACAATTTTGGCACATCATGTTTGTAGAAAGGAGCACTTAATTCTCTTTCAAATACCAATATCCCTTTAGGAAGATGGTAGTCTACAGTATCTTCATTTTATGATGAGGAAACCGAGGTCCAGAGAAATGTAAAGTAACCTGGACCATGATATAGTCAGTCAAATTGTTGGGGGTATAAAGATTAAAACTTGGTGTTGCCTACATTTTTCCAAGCTGCCTACCCTCAGACAATAACAGCAGTGACTGGAATATTAAGAAATGTTCTCTCTTCTGTGAGACAGCCACAAAGAATACTTAGGGCACAGCAGAATGGTGTAGGGCAGAAACAGCTAGAGGGCTTCAATAGCATGAACAATACAGCAAAGAAAAACAGAAAAAAAAACCTTAATCCCAGATAGACTAAACCCCAAAGACAGATATAGATCTTTAATTTAAAATCAAGTGAGTTTATTCATGGAGAAAACAGTAACAAAACACCCTTGGGACTTTTTTATTCCAACAATTAAAATTGCATTAAAAAGCCAACAGGGAGTTTGGAGACCGAAATGACATGTAGAGAAACTAAATTCCCCTTTCCTTGGGTTTACCTATATTTATCTTTTAGGCAAGAGAGATAGTTGTGATTAATTTCTTTTCTAAAAGACAAGATTTTCCAGTTCCATTGTTTTCATGTGTAAAGGATTCTTCCATGAGAGCCAGAGAGGTGGAAGAGAAGATCAAAGAATTTGATGATGCCTGAGGGAGTTAAGAAGATGAGACTAATAGCTGGTTCACAGAACCACAATTTTACCATAAATTACCAGATGGAGTGGAGGGAGGGGTACTGTATTTCTCATTAATAAAATCTGAGGTATTTAAATACTCTGCAAACATGGAAACTCACTTCTACCTTCCTCAAAGGAAATAGCAGAGGCTGAGAAGGCTGTTGTGGAAGAACATACCTCCTTGGACTGACTTCTCAACATACATTACAGCCAACATGTAACTAGGAACAGACCATGTCAAACACTTCTCTGAGCAAAGTGGCTGAGTTTACTTCTGCGTGGGTTCCAAGGCAACAGTGTGATCAACAATGAGTTCTTCCCTGTCTCTGTTTTTGGCTTGTCTGGGTGCTGAAGTCCACGGCAATACACAATAACATGATCATTTACGGTAAGCAGGTGCCTGAGTAAAAAGGATGGGATCTCCAAGTCTCAGCTGTCAGGGTTTATCCTGGCCCGTTTTACTTCGCTATTCTGGTCATCCAGATGGCAGAAACCTTCTGTACTGATGTCTCTTTTTTCATCCTCGATGGGTTCTAGAGGGAAATTCTGGTCTGTGGCCAGGACCTGTCGGACAGTCATGTTAACACGAGCGGTCTTCAAGTAGCTGGCACACACCTGCCAGTCCTCCATAGAACAAGGCTCTACCATTGAATCTCTCGGGAGGACAGCAGGGAGAGGTGCCTCTAGGCAGTGAGGCAGGCCTTCCCCTTCTGGATTTGGAAGGACACGAGGGACTGCGTGGTTCAAGAGGCGGCTGAAACCCGACATTATCATGATGTCACCACTGTGCATAAACATGGCCGTGGGGGCCTCATCCCTTTGAAGACCACCCAGGAGAAAGATGGCGGACTGTCCAAAGCTACAAAAAATAAGTAAAAACACACAACAATAAAAAAGTATAAATTTTGTTTATTAACTATGACTGGGAAAGTTACTGCCAACTGTGTTATTTTGTAATTTCAGGTTGATATTTATTGCTCCCAAATCCTCCTTTTTAAACTGTGCTAAGATCCTTCTCTTCTGGTTTGTGTCTATGAGTGACCAACTCATGACCTTCTACCTATAGTTATGACAGCCCACAGAACTGCTGCAAAATAAAATTGGATGCAGTTAAATAAGCAAATGGAGAACTTAGCTTTAATGTTATCCATTTAAGTTTTATTGATGGTTTTTTTTTTAAAGACAGAGCCTTATTTCGTCACCCAGGCTGGAGTGGCTGGAGTGCAGCGGCGCGATCTCGGCTCACTGCAACCTCAGCCTCCTGGGTTCAAGTGATTCTTGTGCCTCAGCCTCCAGAGTAGCAGGGATTACAGGCGTGTGCCACCACACCCGACTAATTTTTGTATCTTAGTAGAGATGGGGTTTTACCGTGTTGGCCAGGCTGGTCTCAAACTCCTGAACTCAAGTGATCCACTGGCCTCGGCCTCCCAAAGTACTGGGATTATAGGTGTAAGCCATCATGCCCAGCCTATTGATGTGTCTTTGAGTCTTTCAATAAAATCATTTGAGTTCTTTACTATGTTTACCTTTCCTCATTTTAAAGATAAGGCAATTAATAAAAGGCACTTTCCCGAGATGCAGGTGCAAAACTTGGCACAAATTTAAACTTACTTTTAGGGAGACAAGGAGAGTAAACTACTCAGGCTTTTGTGCTTTGCTCTATAGTTTGCTCTTCTATACCAAAGGTCACTCGCTTTGCTTTTATGGCTTTCCACTTGTCTATTCCACAGAGCACTGACAATACCTTTCATTATAAAAGGTAGGTTACGGCCAGGTGCAGTGGCTCATGCCTGTAATCTCAGCACTTCGGGAGGCCGAAGTGGGCGGATTGCCTGAGCTCAGGAGTTCATGACCAGCCTGGGCAACACGATGAAACCCCATCTCTACTAAAAAAAAAAAAAATTAGCTGGGTGTGGCGGTGTGCACCTGTAGTTCCAGCTACTCAGGAGGCTAAGGCAGGAGAATCACTTGAAACTGGGAGGCGGAGGTTGAAGTGAGCTGAGATCAAGCCACTGTATTCCAGCCTGGGTGACAGAGCGAGACTCTGTTTCAAAAAAAAACAATAATAAAAAATAAAAATAAAATAAAAGGTAGGCTCCATGTGTCTTAAACAGAGATACTAACTATAATTTATTAAAATTCCCAGAAGTGGAAGATTATAGAGTCCAACCACTTTTTTAAAGTTAAATACCTGTATTTATTTTAGAGTAAAATGTCTTAGAAAAAAGAATTAAATGATAAAAAGTAATCCCAAATCCCTGGAACTAACTCACCTGAATGACAGCAAGGGTTTGGAGTGATCTAGCTCAGATCTGTCTACGTGGATTCCCAGTGTGGAGTCCAGGCGGTAGTAATTCAGGATCCCTGCTTCAGCTCGGAAATCCTCAAATCCACAGGCAGCGGCTACTTGCTCTGAGAGGAAACCCAGGTCAGAAGGGAAAGGTGTGTAATGATCTGCTGAGTATTTCTTTGGTAAATGTAGAGAGAATAAGAAAAATAAACAATGATCTCAGGAATACAGGAAACTATAAGATTAATTACCACTTTAAAATAATCTTACTTACAAAGTCATATTAACATATTAACACAGCATTATCTATCCATTCTTTTCTTTTCTTTTTTTTTTTTTTTAAAGACAGGGCCTCAATCTGTTGCCCAGGCTAAAGTCCAGTGGTGTGATCATGGCTCACTGTAGCCTAGACCTCCTGGGCTCAGTGATCCTCCTACCTTAGTCTCCCAAGTAGGTAGGACCACAGGTGCGTGCCACCATGCCTGGCTAATTTTTTTTTTTTTTGGCAGAGATGGGGTCTCACTATGTTGCCTAGACTGGTCTCAAATGATCCTCCTGCCTCAGTCTCCCAAAGCGTTGTGATTACAGACATGAGCCACTGTGCCCGGTCTATCCATCCATTCTTGGGGTATCTAATGATCTAATAATGAATCATTCAAAAACCCAAGTACCTGTTATATAACAGGCACTGTGCTATATACTGCATTGAGTCTATACATGAAGCAATTACTCCACCACCCTCTAGTTAGTATACTCTATCTGTAAATGAGACAGTTCTATTAGGGTAAAAATGCAACTCAAAACCGTCATTGCCAACAGGTGCCCAAGGAAACACAAGGACTAAATATAATGTAGTATCCTGGATAAGATCCTGGATATTAGAAAATTAGATATAAGAACAAAGATATTAGTTAAAAACTAAGGAAATCTAAATGAAGTACAAATGCTATTACAGTAATGTATTACTATTGGTTAACTATTTGAGACAAAGGTACCATACTAAGGTAAAATGTTAATAATAGGGGGAGAGCACGAGCTCTCTCTGTACTATCTTCTCAACTTTTCTGCAAATCTAAAACTATCCTAAACTAAAAAGTTAATTTATAAAAAGGCAACTCAAATACTATAGCCAGTTTGGTTTTGGACCTCTCAGCTTGCAACATGGCTTAGTGGCAATTTGACTGGTCAATCTGATGGGATGACATGCTCAAAACATCGGAACTAACTCTCATTTATAGCATGGCCAAGATAGGCCTTTAAATTGGAAGTAATTTCCTGAACTTACTTCCCTGGGCTGTCTCTGTTTTTTACACCTAAGGATCACAAATATCTTTTTCCAGTTAAAAAAAAATATATCAAAGGCCATAATACTCTTTTTTTTTTTTGAGACTGAGTCTCGTTCTGTCACCCAGGCTGGAGTGCAGTGGTACGATCTCTGCTCACTGCAACCTCTGCCTCCCAGATTCAAGTGATTCTCTTGCCTCAGCCTCCTGAGCAGCTAGGATTACAGGTGCCTGCCACCATGCCTGGCTAATTTTTGTATTTTTAGTAGGAACAGGGTTTCACCATGTTGGCCAGGGTGGTCTTGAACTTCTGACCTCAAGTGAACTGCCTGCCTCGGCCTCCCAAAGTGCTGGGAGTACAGGTGTGAGCCACCATGCCTGGCCTGGCCATAATACTCTCTATAACATCTTTCTGCATGAGTGACATGGCTGCAGTTATGATTAAGACTTTCACTTACAGGTTCCTATATGGATGAATCTGAGGGCTATTTGGGCTATATGTACCTGACAGACTCTTCTTTTGTCTTGATGCTCCTCTGCTCTCACTTCTTTCTTTGCTAAATTAACCTCAAATCTGATCAGAAAATCTACTTTTGTCTCATATCTCTACTAGCGTCTGAATATATTCTAGCTGAAGCAGCAGTCATAGGTCTGGACAGCAAGTATTTACTTTGGCCAGAAGCGACCTTTAACTTCAGGTGTAAGGAAGACTCTTGATGAATGGCCTGGTCTCTTCAGTTGGAACTTTTCTGTTTTTCATTTTTTCTCCTTTTACTGAACTGTAAATTAGAAGAGTTCCTATTCAATTTCTCAAAACTCAAAGTGTGATTAAAGAACTTTAAGTTTTCCTCTATCATTTTAAGCTTTAGTCCCTCAGATAATCAAACAGTCAAGGCTGTCATTCTAGCTGTAGATAGCCTCTGCTATAATGAAATAATCACCCTTTTGGGCTTTCAACCCTGTCCAAACTGTCTCTGCATTACTCACTACTTTTTCTTTTAAAGTTCTCTTTCACTTTTCTCTGACTACTCATTCAGTTTTTGGTCATTTTTACTCCCTATTTTTCTTAGTCAATGAGGTTAACTTTGAGGTCTTGGGGAATAACAATATCAACAGTAAAAATATTATCACCAAAAAAAAAAAAAAAAAAAAAAGCTAACATTTATTGTGATAATGCATTTAACTGCTTAGAATAGCCAGACACCATTGAGATCACTTTACAGGCACTGATCACTTAATTTTCACAACTGCCTTATGAGGTAGGCACTATCATTACCGGAGGAAGGATTCAAACTCAGGCTGTCTAATCCAAAGAAAATCACATGGCATTTCCCCTCAAAAAATATCTAGTTTCCTACTGAGTCTGTATTGCTGAAAGTCAGAATTATATCACAAATATTTTTAAAACAAATCTGTCATCATTTGGAGCAGTTAATGTATCTAAGTTGGGTTGGCTGAAACTGTGGAGCTTTTAGAAAGTAACTAGTTACTGTGAGGCTGAGGTGTGAGGATCACCTGAGTCTGGGGAGGTCGAGGCTATAGTGATTGTGCCACTGCACTCCAGCCTAGGTGACAGTGTAAGACCATTACAAAAAAAAAAAAAAAACAGACAAAGTAACTGGTTAGTAGGCAAAGAAAATGGTCTATACCAATATTTTTTTTTCATTTTATTCTTATAATCAGTATACTCCCTTGGTGGCAAATGTCTAATTGAGACAAGAGGCACTGCACTGCTAGTTACAAGGCATCTTCTAAAGCATAGAGGATAGGAAAGAAGAAATCGTAGCTCAAGAAAACACGAAACTGTCAACTGTAGGAAATTCTTTCCCACCTCCCTCCTTCCTAGTCATTATAGAGCAGGCAAATATCTTTTTTTTTTGAGACAAGATCTTGTTCTATCACCCAGTTGGACTGCAGTGGTGCGATCTTGGCTCACTGCAACCTCTGCCTCCCAGGCTCAAGCGATCCTCCCTCCCCAGCCTCCTGAGTAGCTGGAACCACAGGCATGCACCACCACATCTGGCTAATTTTTCTATTTTTTGTAGAGATGGGGTTTCACTATGTTGCCCCAGGCTGCTCTGGAACTCCTGAGCTCAAGCGATCTTCCCACCTCAGCCACCCAAAGTGCTTGGATTACAGGAGTGAGCCACCGCGTGTGATCGGTATCCATATGTTGAAAGTTCTTTTGTGAGTTGACGAATGAACAATTGAAATACATGGAGCTTCTTTTACTCCAGGCAGATATTACATAGAAAAATAAGTGCTCTTGAATGTGGCTTTTGTTGCACAATAAAAATTAAAAAAAAGAAAAAGAAAAAGAAAAATATATGCTCAACAAACTCTCACTAATAATGGAAATAAAGATGGTGAGAACTGCTCTTGAAAAGAGTTCTATATTCCTGGAACCTACTGTGAGAAAGCACTGGTGACTTCTGATATAATAAAATTCATTCCTCTTGAGATACCTGAGGAGAGATTTTTTTTTTCTTTTCTGAGACAGAGTCTTGCTCTGTCACCCAGGCTGGAGTGCAGTGGTGCGATCTTGGCTCACTGCAACCTCCACCTCCTGGGTCCAAGTAATCCTCTCACCTCAGCCTCTTGAGTAGCTGGGACTGCAGGCATGTGCCACCAGGCCCGGCAAACTTTTGTATTTTTTGTAAAGACAGGGTTGTGCCACGTTGCCCAGGCTGGCAGCAAACTCCTGACCTTAAGTGATCCGCCCACCTCAGCCTCCCAAAGTGCTGGGATTACAGATGTGAGCCACGGCACCTGGCCCAGTTGAGATTTTTTAAGGAAATAAAAGAAAGGGATCCTCCCACAAATGTATAATCTTGATATCTTAAGCGTGGTTAGGAAGAAATACAACTATGTGGGCTAAAGAAGCCTATAAACAGAAAACAAAAGAATTAAGAAAACCTGAATACCTTACTGTCCCAGTTATAATGGTAGCCTACGGTCACCCAACGCAGTTTCTCCAGTAAACTTCGGGGTCTCCGTTTAGTCGCTTCTTTATACCTGCAAAGATTGGTGACAAAAGAGGAATTATTCATGTAAAATGGCAGCAATAGCCGTTTGTATGGACTCTGGAGTTAAAATTTAGTATTACATGGTATAAGCCGTTAGCCAAGACTCAGTAGGAGAAATTAGAAGAGATAAATGAGTAGACCACAGATACATTAACAGAGAAAAACATGTTAGCACTTCTAATTTATAATCCTTTGTTCTAAATCCTCTGCTGAATGGGGTCAACTTTAAATCACAAGCCTCCAGCATCTTGGTAATGATAAAATAAGAATGACAACAATGACAAGAGAAATGTCTTTACCTGTCCATGGGAAATGGTACCAAGAGCACTATGGGCAATCAAAAATTTGACTTACAGAACATTTTCAGTTTGGTTTGCTAAAAGCAGGGTACAGTTAATCACAATGATTTCTATGTCTATAATGAGGGTGGCTTCCCAGAATTGCAGGTTGGGGAAAAAAAAAGTTTAGCAAAATATAGTGTATAGTACAATAAAAAATAACTGGTTTAACATGACTTCTTTAACTCTGTATAACATAGCTTAGATAACTGAGGCTTAGCTAACAATTAAGGCACCACTGTAACTGATTTGGTTTCTGACATACCCTTGTTCAAACCACAGGAGGTTTCTGTACAACCGAGACGTGCTCTTTCTGCAATTACATCTCATCTGATCAAATCTATGTGATTAACTACTCTTTTTTTTTTTTTTTTTTTGAGACAGAGTTTCGCTCTTGTTGCCCAGGCTGGAGTGCAATGGCGCGATCTTGGCTCACCACAGCCTCCGCCTCCCAGGTTCAAGCAATTCTCCTGCCTCAGCCTCCCAAGTAGCTGGGATTACAGGCATGCACCACTACGCCCAGCTAATTTTGTATTTTTAGTAGAGACGGAGTTTCTCCATATTGAGGCTGGTCTCGAACTCCTGACCTCAGGTGATCCGCCTGCCTCGGCCTCCCAAAATGCTGGGATTACAGGCGTGAGCCACCACAACTGGCCCACTACTCTTTTTCTAAAAAGGAAGCTTGTTTGTTTGGCTCACCTCCAAATATCTAAAAATATGAGAATGGTAGGTCTAATGATTTAATTTTTCTCTGTTATTTACATCATTGATCAATCAAAAATTTTTTTGTCCAAAACTATGGCTGTGTAAAAAAGAAAAAATCAGATTCCTTTAAGGAATCTGATTGTGACAGGAAATGGCAAATGTAATAGAAAGTCTAAGGAGAAATTAGAGGGAAACTGAACGCAGTATAAAGTCTAGTACTAAAGTAAACAGCAGACTTTGAGGGGCACGAGAATTAAGAAAAAGGAGAGCTCAAAGTCAGCTGTCGAATCAGTTGGGGCTTCTTGGCAGAGTTGGGAGTTGAGCACGGCACTGAAGAATGGGCAGCATTTAAATAGGGAGTGATGCAGTAGGCAATATGGGCACACAGCACAAGCAAAAGCAAAGGATTTATTGAGACCCACACTGTTCAGTGGCACTCATCTTGATGTTTGACGAAGAGTTTACAGAATAGATGCTATCTGTCCTCACAGAGTTTACATTCTAAGAAAGACATCATGACACATACATACATCAAGACCAGCAGATAAAAAGAAATGAACACACACTGATTTATTTAGGACAGGTGTGCAGAAGAGACATAGCAGACTTGACTGATGGTCTGCTTACAAAGATGGTCCTTGGCAAGGTTCACACAATTCTCTGGAAGTGTTAAGAGTGGCTTACTGCACCTAAACTGTGCAAACAATATGGTTTATGGTCAACACCTGCTTTGCTTCTGGGAGTCTGTGATTTTGGCATGTGTCAGGCAGAGGCTGCCTACATGACAAGCTCCTAGTAAAAACCTAGGCACTGAGTTTCTTTGGTAAACATTTCACAGATTTTGTCACAACCCATTGCCATATCCGGTGTGACTTCCTTGGGAGAGGACTTTTGGAGGCATGCACCTGGTTTTTCCTGGACTTTGCTCCAGGTGCCTTTTCCCTTTGCTGATCTTGCTTTGTATGCTTTCACTGTGATAAATCTGTAAGTGCAACCATCTGCTGAGTCCTGAGTCTTCCTGGCGAATCATCAAATTTGGGTGTGGTTTTGGGGACTCCCTGACACAACAGGAGACAGATAACTAATAATTTAGGGAAAAATATAAGGCTTGGCCACTGACAGCAACTAGCTGATTTGAACAATTACAATATGGATAACAACCACACATTATTTTTGTGCATAAAAACTGAAATATGAAAAAAATGTAATGTAGTTATTAACACAACTTGAGGTCTACCAATGTTTATTCAGCTAAAGGTACAAATAAAAGAACTCCTTGATGTTCTCCTCTAGAGAACATGTTCTATTTTAGTAGCCTGAGACAGAAAAATAAGTATGACTCATGTGGACTTTGTGGTTAATGGAAATATAAACGTAGTTCCAGAGTTACATAAGCACCTTATAGAGGTGATCCATTCTATTTCTCTTTCCAAGGTATTACTTTGTAGCCAATTCCTTATTTTAAGGTAATCTCTAGGATACAAGAAAATGCTGTTGAAGAAAAGGATGATGATGATGATCTTATGAATATTGAAGCTATGCGTTTTTGAGGAGGGGGAAAAGAGAGATGGTAGAAGTGGTAGTAAAAGATGAAAGAAGTTGGTCATCTAAGACTGGAATCTAGAACTCAAAATAGATGGCACCCTGAGTATCTAAATGGCAAAGAGTCTTCTCAAAAATTTTATTTTTTGGAGACTGTGTCTCATTTTGTCACCCAGGCTGGAGGGCAATGGCACGATCTTGGCTCACTGCAACCTCCGCCTCCCAGGTTGAAGTGATTCTCCTGCCTCAGCCACCCAAGTAGCTGTGATTACAGAATGCACCACCACGCCTGGCTAATTTTTGTATTTTTTGTAGAGATGGGGTTTCACCATGTTGGCTAGACTCATCTTGAACTCCTGACCTCAGGTGGTCCACCCGCCTCGGCCTCCCAAAGTGCTGGGATTACAGGCGTGAACCACTGCACCTGGCCTATTTTTATTGTTTAATTAAAACAAAAAAGAAAAATATAGAGATGTAGTCTCACCATGTTGTCCAGGATGATCTTGAACTCCTTACCTCAAGCAATCCTTCCGCCCTGACCTCCCAGAGTGCTAAGTGAGGCATCACACCAAGCTGTAAAGTCTTTTTTTTTTTTTTTTTTTTTTACAAACAGTCCAGGGGTATTTTAACACCTATTATGCTATGAATCCATAGAGAATAGGTTCCAGCAGCTCAGGCTCCTTCCCATTTGTTCTCACAAAGTGTGCTTCTCTGGGTGGGGCAGGCTGGCACTTCAGTTGAACTCAGGTACCTTTCTCTTTGGGTTCTTTTTCTGATCATTTTACTACACGTTTCAGGAAGCTATCTCGGCTCTTAGAGTGCTTAATGTGCTCAATGCGCACATTAATTCTCTTGGCAAGAGTCTTGCCCTTAACTTACTTGTTCACAACAATGCTAACAGCATGCTGGGGAACACTGTAGACTCTTCCAGTTTTGCCATGGCAACATTTATGGGCCATTCCTTTTTGAACAGTACCCATTCCCATTCCCTTAATGTCGACAACATCATCCTCCTTTTTTTTTGAGATGCAGTCTTGCTCTGTCACCTAGGCTGGAGTGCAGTGGTGCAATCTCGGCTCACCGCAGCCTCCACCTCCCAAGTTCCAGCGATTCTCCTGCCTCAGCCTCCCAAGTAGCTAGAATTACAGGCATGCACCACCACGCCTGGCTAATTTTTGTATTTTTAGTAGAGACAGGGTTTCCCCATGTTGCCCAAGCTGGTCTTGAACTGCTGACCTCAGGTGATCCAAACGCCTCAGCCTCCCAAAGTGCTGGGATTACAGGCATGTGCCACTGCGTCCAGCTGACAATATCATCCCTCTTACAGATGCGCATATACATGGCCAAAGGAAAAACTCCGTTTTCTAAAAGGCCTAGAAAACATCTATCAGGTACTTCTCCTCTTTCCCTTTGTCTTCGTCATTTTCGCAAATTACTGGAAGATGGCAGTTCCAGCTGAAAAGCGCAGTCTTAAGAGCTCTACTGAAAGCCTTTACAGAACCTGTCTTAATTACAGAACCCACTTAATTTTTGCCGAGTGTTTCTCAAACTTTAGTGTACATCAGAATCATCTAGAAGGCTTGTTGAAACTCACATGGCTGGGTCCAGGCCTATAAATTCTTATTCAGCAGGTCTAGGGTGGGGGCCTAAGAACTGCATTTCTAGTAAGTTCCCAAATGATACTTATGCTGCTGGTCCAGGAATTACACTTTGAAAACCACTATTCTAGCCCAAACTAAAAAACAAAACACAATACCGTCTGTTTCTTTCTAGCTCAATAACAGATTGCTTTATTCTTTTTCTTTTTTTTTTTAGACGGAGTTTTGCTTTTGTTGCCCAAGCTGGAGTGCAATGGTGCGATCTTGGCTCACTGCAACCTCCGCCTCCCAGGTTCATGTGATTCTCCTGCCTCAGCCTCCCAAGGAGCTTGGATTACAGGCATGCACCACCACGCCCGGCTAATTTTGTATTTTTAGTAGAGATGAGGTTTCACCATGTTGGCCAGGCTGGTTTCGAATTCTGGACCTCAGGTGATCCACCTGCCTCAGCCTCCTAACAGTCACAGCTTGCTGCAGGCTCAAGTAATCCTCCCCACCTCAGCCTCTTGAGTAGCTAGAACTACAGGTGTGTGCTACCATGCCTGGCTAATTTTTAATTTTTTTGTAGAGACGGGGTCTCTCTATGTTGCCCAGGTGGGTCTTGAACTTCTAGCTTCAATCAATCCTTCTGCGTTGGCCTCCCAAAGTATCGGTACTACAGACATGAGCCACCATGCCCAGCCTCATTTTATGAAGAATCCATACTATTATATCAATGTCAGACTGATCTGAAACAATAAACATAACAATAATGCTGCTTTGGAAATAATTCAAAAGGTGACAGTATTTTAGACATTTGATATGGCCGCAACAAACTGCTTTTCCACCAAAAGATTTAGTCTAATATTCAAGAACAGAGAATACATTTTATAAACACAGGTTTATGTTATTAACAATAAAAATTATCAAAATTATAGTGACAGCATGAATAGAATCATCCTGTAATATACCTTTTCTAATTTAGTTCCTTTCCTAAGAAGCCAAAATAACATCTCTCACTGGGAGCGGTGGCTCACGCCTGCAATCCCAGCACTTTGGGAGGCTGAGATGGGCGGATCTCTTAAGGCTAGGAGTTCAAGACCAGCCTGGCCAACATGGTGGAACACTGTCTCTACTAAAAAACCAAAAACTAGCCAGGCATGGTGGTGGGTGCCTGTAATTCCAGCTACTCAGGAAGCTGAGGTACAAGAATCGCTTGAACCCAGAAGGTTGCAGTGGGCCAAGATCATGCCACTGCACTCCAGCCTGGGCGACAGAGTGAGACTCCGTCTTAAAAAAAAACACAAAAAAAAACAAGGACTCTAACTGTATGATTAAAAGAAAGGCTTTGAGCTGGGCGTGGTGGCTCACGCTTGTAATCCTAGCACTTCGGGAGGCCGAGGTGGGCAGATTGCCTTAGCTCAGAAGTTGGAGAACCAGCCTGGGCAACATGGTGAAACCTCGTCTCTACTAAAAATACAAAAAATTAGCCAGGCATGGTGGTGCACGCCTGTAGTCCCAGCTACTCGGGAGGCTGAGGCAGGAGCCTGGGAGGAGAAGGTTGCAGTAGACCAAGATTGTGCCACTGCACTCCAGCCTGGGCAATAGAGTGAGACCCTGTCTCGGGGGGGAAAAAAAGGCTTTGAGTTTTTGCGTTATATTATAGAGGATGACTGGTCCAGGGATGTAAAACAAGCCAGAGTCGAGTCTTACATTGAAAAGCATTAAGTTCAGTCCTCATAACAAAAAGAAAAATTGTGATCTTTGAGTGTCTATGCCATTTTGGGGGCAATGACATATATATTTTTGTAACGTATTAGACCCATGTAAGTGCATTAGACCCTCATTTTATATTCTCTTCTGAAAACCTGATTTCAATTCTTGCCTTTGTATTTTCTGAAAGGAAAGTAGCAACAACTCTTAATATCTGCCTTCAATATGTTGAGAGCAGGACTGGCCAGCACCAAACATTTCTTGTCTTAGTACTATTTAAGGACCCTTCTGGTTAATCATGGGCCTCCTGAGTAACAAAAATTCCAAGATTTGTTCTTGAACACTGTGAATAGTAAGACCAAAACCATTTAACATGCTTCCGGATCATTTTTAAGCATAAAATACTGAGAGAATCACTGAAGGGGGTGGGTTGTTCTCTTTTTAAACCTGACTTGTCCAAAAGGAGGTCAAGAAGGATCAGTACCAATACAACTCTCACCTTGAAGAATGCAGGAAATACGTTGGCACCTAATACATCTTTATCCAATTATCCAAAAGAATGTGTTCAAGCAAACATGACCCTAATTATTGGGTCTCACTAAAAAAGAAACATGCTATGCTCCCTGCTGCCTTCTCCAGGCACTAGCAGAAGGATGATGGATGGGTGGGTTGGCCACCTTCTCCCCTGGTGAATGTGCTCATACAGCAGTTTGCTTGGTTTATGTCATGGGTAAGCGCCTTATGTAAGCGTTGGCATTTCTCTTAGCAATTGTTTTTTTCTTTTTTGAGACAGAGTCTCGTTTTGTCGCCAGGCTGGAGTGCAGTGGCGTGATCTCGGCTCACTGCAACCTCCGCCTCCTGGGTTCAAGTGATTCTCCTGCCTCAGCCTCGCAAGTAGCTGGGACTACAAATGTGTGCCGCCATGCCCAGTTAATTTTTGTATTTTTAGTAGAGATGGGGTTTCACCACATTGGCCAGGATGGTCTCGATTTCTTGACCTTGTGATCCACCCGCCTTTGCCTCCCAAAGTGCTGGGATTACAGGCGTAAGCCACTGTGCCTGGCCACCCCATTCTTTCAGTGTTTGAGTGCTTCCAGTTTTCTCTCTCCCTTCTCAACTTGACACTCCCAGTCACTCACTGCAAATGGACATCCAATGCCACTGTAACTGCTAACATCCTCTTGCTATCCTGCAAATATTCAGTCTTATCTAACCGTCTTCTGTTCTAAACCTTCACCATTCATCTCAAGTCCTTAGTTTTGTTCTTATTTCCTTCTATGTCAGTGAGAAAACAGAAGCCTGCTCAAATGATCCAGTGAACAATTTCAACTTTCCTCCCCCACACCACTAAACTTCTCTAAATTTTCACCTGATCCTCCTGGTTTCAGAAGTGGTCCTACTTCTTTCTTCCAAAGCTAATTCTCTACCTATACTATATCCTATTTCCCTGACACAGCCTCTGAGGCCTTTCTCCATTAATAGAATGTTTCTTCTCATACTTTCAAGTCCTCTTCTGAACTTGTTTTTTCCTCTTGGCCTTCAAACATGTTTAATACTCCTACATACTTAAGAATAGACAATAAAAACATTTTCTTTGTCACTTATGCAAGCTACCCTGCTTATACCTCACCTCCTTCTACCCCCTATCTTTCCTTCCCTTTATAATTAAACTTTTAAAAAATTCAGCATTTGCCTTCCTCACTCTCTCCCCTCACCATAATCTGACTTTTGTTTACACCACTACTGAATCTAGTTTCTTAGTTTTCATTACACCAATTAATTGTCAAATCCTAGACCTATTTGACATGGCTGGCCCTTCTCTTCTTGAAACATTTTCCTGTCTTAGCCTCTAACAGCATTTCTTCTGTTTTTCCTCATATCCTTCTGGCTGCTTGATGTCTTTTCCTGCTCTATTTTCTTCATCCTGTGCTGAGGCTTCCTGGGGCCAACAGCCTTCTTTTCTATAGATGAGAAAGAAAAGTGAAAAGAAGAGAAGAAAGAAAACCACATCTATTTTCAGCGCTTTACTATGGCCTTTACGTGTAACTCCTCATCTCATCTCTCTTCGTGTCCCTCTCACCCTTAGTTACTCCTAAGCTCAGTTCTGTATTTCCAAAATCATGCTGGACATCTCCACCTGGATACCCTACAGGCATTTCAAAAAACAGTATGGCCCCAACTACACTAAGGATAGTCTCTGCTCATTCTTTTCTTCTTTCAATACTTATTTCCATTACAAGCCTCAGTATTACCCTCACTGCCATGTAGAAATCAGTAGATAATTGTTAACTTTCTTTTCTCTCACTTTTTATAATTGCTTGGTAACTAAGTTCTGTAGACAACATCTTTTTGAGGCCTTTATCATCTTTTGCATGGATTAAACTAAATTTTTTTTTTTTTTTTTGAGACAGAGTCTCAATTGCTCTGCTTTTGCTCTGTCGCCAGGCTGGAGTGCAGTGGCGTGATCTCAGCTCACTGCAACCTCTCCTCCCAGGTTCAAGGGATTCTTCTGCCTCAGCCTCCTGAGTAGCTAGGACTAGAGGTGCGTGCTGCCATGTCCGGATAATTTTTGTAGATTTAGTAGAGACAGAGTTTCACCATGTTGGCCAGGATGGTCTTGATCTCTTGACCTCGTGATCCGTCCACCTCAGCCTCCCAGAGTGCTGGGATTACAGGTGTGAGCCACTGCACCCAGCCTTTTTTTTTTTTTTTTTGAGACAGAGTCTCATTCTGTCGCGCAGGCTGGAGTAGAGTGGTGCGATCTTGGCTCACTGCAACCTCCACCTGCCGGGTTCAAGCGATTCTCCCACGTTCAAGCGATTCTCTCACCTCAGCTTCCCTAGTAGCTGGGATTACAGGCGCCTGCCACCATGCCCAGCTATTTTTTGTATTTTTAGTAGAGACGGGGTTTCACCATGTTGGCCAGGCTGGTCTTGAACTCCCGACCTCAGGTGATCCCCCCACCTTGACCTCCCAAAGTGCTGGGATTATAGGTGTGAGCCACCGCGCCTGGCCTGAACTAAATTCTTAATTGTGCTTTTTGCAACCACTGCATTTTCAGTCAATTTCCTCCACTACCAGAGTTATTTTTCTGAAGTGAAAAATCTGTTATTAATCCTGATAAATACCCACTGTTAATAGGACAAAGTCCACACTCTTAGATGACATGCAGAGCCATTTATATTCTGGCTCTAACTAACCTTTCTAGTCTCATCTCCAAGCATTTCCCACAAGGTATGCTATTCTCATGTTTTTCATGGCCGTGCCTCTGACTATACAATTTTCTCTACTGAAATGCTCTACTCCACTCTCAGCCTAGCAGATTTTTCCAATTTGTTTTTTCATACAGTTTACACTCACTTCTTCTGGGAAGTCTTTCTCCCAGCCATTTCCTATATCGTGCCCCCAAAGCACCTTGCAACTTCTATTCAAGTATACATGCTTTGGTATTGTAAATTCCTTATTTAAGTACCTGGGTTCCTCCTTTAACAGTCCCTCCCTCACTGGCTTTTATTCTTCTTCATAGCTATCCTAGCATCACATATTTTCTAAGACACAAATGTACATTATTTAATAAATTAGTGAAAATAAGAAGAAAAGCTATATAGTCTCTAAATGATCCTTCTCAAATTTAGCATTGTTCTTATTGGACTAATAAAGAGGGAATATGAATTTAATTGAAATAATATTTACTGAGCACCTTCTAATATATACAAAGAACTGTGGTAAGAATCAAGGCTACAAAATTTTCAAGATGGGAGAGGAAGGCAATGGAAGGAGACAGGGGTAGATAACTCAATTCACTAGAAAAAATGCTATACTAGCATTATAAACAGTCAAGTAGAAAGAGGAGAGGATTAATTCTGCTTCCACAATGAGGGTAACAGTGGGAAAAAAGCTTTCATATACATAAAAATAGAGTATTTCATAAGCTAATTTACAGAACAAATAAAGCTAAGTTGTTATTTGGCAACTATGTTGCACTTAATTAAAAAAAAAATCAAGCAAAAAATTTAGAAAACAAAAAATAGACAGAAAATTGTAGTTCCGGCTATTCAGGGGGCTGAGGTGGGGCAACTGCTTCAGCCCAGAAGTTCAAGGCAGCCTGGGCAACATAGCAAGACACCATCTCTAAAAAAAAGTGGCAATAAACAAACAAACCAAAGCAAGAAGATAAAGAATGAGGGGAAGTAGGAGATTCTTGTTGACTGAATGATAAGTGAAGACTTTCTTCTAAGATGATATTAGAACAAAGACTTACAAGAAGCAAGACACTGTTGATCTAAGGGAAGAGCTTCCTAGGTAGAACAGCCTGTACAAAAAAAAAAATCTTGAGCATGCCTAGTGTGTTTAAGGATAGCACTGGAGGTCAATGTGGCAGAAAAGAACAAATGAAAAGGAAATGAGGTAGGAATGGTAGGAAATGAGAGTAGAGAGGTAGCTGTGGGCCAGGTCATATTGGCCTTACAGCCATGGTTAAGAATTCTGGATTTTTTCTAAATGTGATGATGTTATGCAACAAAGAATTTGACTGGTCTTTGTCCCTGGCTCCTGGCAGGGAACTTCTAAACCCTTGAAATTTCCTGAGTGATAAAGTGTCACTGTTAATCAAGGTGGGCCCTTGGAACCACACCTGAGTTTGTGCTATGAAGGGAGGCTGGTTAGGAGGCTACTGCAGTGCTCTAGATAAGAAATGATGGCAGCTTAGACCAAGGCAGTTGTGATGGAGATGGTGAGAAATGACTGAATTTATTCTGGCTTTGAAGTCTGGAATATATACTAGAGGGTTGCATTTAAAGTTTTTTTAATCCTTGCACAGCAGCTGCATTCTATGTCTGGGATATGTCACGTTAGATTTACCTGGTCGCCTGTTGATGAACTCTTAGGCTGTTTTGCATTTTTTTTTTCTGTTACAAACAATGTCACAATGAAGATGTTTACACATAACTCTTTTTTTTTTTTGAGACGGAGTTTCACTCTTGTTGCCCAGGCTGGAGTGCAATGGCGTGATCTCGGCTCACCGCAACCTCCGCCTCCCGGGTTCAAGTGATTCTCCGGCCTCTGCCTCCTGAGTAGCTGGGATTATAGGCATGCGCCACCATGCCCGGCTAATTTTGTATTTTTAGTAGAGACGGGGTTTCACCATGTTGGTCAGGCTGGTCTCGAACTCCTGACCTCAGATGATCTGTCCAACTCGGCCTCCCAAAGTGCTGGGATTACAGGCATGAGCCACCGTGCCCGGCCTGCACATAACTCTTGTACACTTTTACAACAATCTCTAGCTACGCCATTCACTTTGGAAAAAAAAGAACAGAATTGAGGTACTCTAATTTTTTGAACAGTCCTTAAGTTCAAGTATTTTTTTTTAAATAATTTTTGTTTTTGCTTAAGTTCAAGTATTTCTTCTTCATTTCCTATTTAAAGTTTTTTCTTCCCTGACTATAGAATTCTAGAAAATTAAAACCAAAAGGATCTTAGAGGTCCTTTACTTCAGTGGTTCTCAATGTCAGAGGATGTTATGATACCTAATCAAAATCTCCAGGGGAACTGTTTTGAACTCAACAGACTCTCTCCTGTTCTGAGAGACTCTGGCAAAGTTGGGAGAGCTGCCAGGTACTGTCCACATGACCCTGACTGCCCATGATTCAATTACCTTGAATGGCTTATCCAGTCCAATACCTTCATTTCTTACATGAGGAAACTGAAGCACGTATCACATAGTGATACAATGAAAACTTGGCCTTAATCGATTTTCAGTGCTGCCAGTACAATGTCTTGAGCATATCAATTTCTTCCAACCCTTGACAACATAAGGTACGACCATCAAATTTTTTATTTCTGCTAATTTATTAGACCAAAAAAAAGGTATCTCACCATTGTTTACAGGATGATTTATTACAGAGATTCATCTGAGCTATCTTAAAAGACAGCTGGGATTTCTGCAGAGTCATATATCAGAAGGAAAAAAAATTACTTGAAAACACAGGCTGGTTTAATAGCAGTAGGTTCTCTTGGACTAATTTTACTTAACCACGATCTTCCTTTCCCCTGCTCTCAGTTGCGAAGAAGACACTACTAAAAGCTCATGGACAGGATTTTCCTCACTGCTCCTGTTGATACCATAACCTATAGACCAAGGTTTAAAAAAAACCACTGAATTTTACTTTTCCTTTCCCCTTAAGAAAATCTTCTCTTTACTCTGTTAGAATCGGCATGACAGTTTCTGAAAACTACAAAATTAAGGCCACGTAACACCAAACGGGACACAAAGTTGGTAAAATGGTTTTAACAGGCACTTTAAAGGACTTCTCACGTATTATCTTGTTTAATCCTCATACTATTCAATAAGGAAAGAACTGTTATGAGACACAGAAAGGTGAAGGAACTTGCTCAAGGTTACACAGCTATTAAGTGGTGGAGCTGGGATCTGAACACAGTCAGTCTGACTCCAGAACTAGTGCTCTACATTAGTGGTTCCCAACCTTTTTGGCACTGGGGACCAGTTTCATGGAAGAGAATTTGTCCATGGATGGAGTGGGGATGGGGGGTGGTTTGGGGATGAAAACTGTTCCATCTCAGATGAACAGGCATTAGATTCTCAATAAGGAGTGCGCAACCTAGATCCCTTGCATGTACAGTTCACAACAGGGTTCGCGCTCCTATGAGAATCTAATGCTGCTGCTGATCTGACAGGGGGCGAAGCTCAGGTGGTAATGCTTGGCTGTCTAGGTCTGCTGCCCCATGATTGGGGACCCCCCTGCTCTACATCACTAAAACCTTTACCATCTGGCCCAAATCCACCTCTCCTCCTTCATGTTTTACCAATTCCACCTACTCATGGCTTCCAGGAAGCATTTTCTATAATCTACCTCCAGCCTAGCTACTTAAGTGACCATTCCCATTATATCTTATAATGTCTGTCCCTGCACCTACCAAATTGTATTTATTTATTTATTTATTTATTTAATTTATTTATTTTTAGAGACAGTCTCTCCTCAGCCTGCCGAGTAGCTAGGACTACAGGCACACACCACTATGCCCAGCTAATTAAAAAAAAAAATTTTTTTGGGGCCGGGAAGTGCCTTACACCTGTAATCCCAGCACTTTGGGAGGCCGAGGTGGGCAGATCACCTGAGGTCGGGAGTTCAAGACCAGCCTGAACAACATGGAGAAACCCCTACCTCTACTAAAAATACAAAATTAGCCGGGTGTGGTGGCGCTTGCCTGTAATCCCAGCTACTCTGGAGGCTGAGGCAGGAGAATTGCTTGAACCCGGGAGGTGGAGGTTGCAGTGGGCCAAGATCATGCCATTGCACTCCAGCCTGGGCAACAAGAGCGAAACTCCGTCTCAAAAAAAAAAAAAAAAAATTTTTTTTCATAGAGATGGGGTCTTGCTATGTTGCCCAGGCTGGTAACTCCAGGCCTCAAGTGTTCTTCTCACCTTGGCCTCCCAAAGTGTTGAGATTACAGGCATGAGCCACCAAGCCCAGACCCAAATTGTATCTAATTATCTGTTTGTAGGTTTTTGAACATAACTAAAGTACAAATTTCTTGAAGACAGGAACTGTTTTTTATCTGCCTTTGAATCTCTAACACTAAAGCACAGTGTCTGACACATAGCAGAAACTCAATAGATAACAACTGAATAAACGTAAGAAAGTACACATCCTATGCTCTTGTCTCGCAGGACGATTTATTCTGTCTTAAATATTGTATCTTTGCTCAGGCTGCTTTCTCTACTCAGTAGAGACTTTTTACTTTTCTGACTGGTAAACCCCTACTCATTTTTGAAGATTAGTTCAAATGGACAGTGAAAGGAGGATAACCCAATAAAAAAATCATTTTTTCAGGCCGGGCTTGGTGGCTCACGCCTGTAGTCTCAGCACTTTGGGAATCTGAGGCAGGGGGATCACTTGAGGTCAGGAATTGAGACCAGCCTGGCCAACATGGCGAAACCCCATCTCTACTAAAAATACAAAAATTGGTGGGGCGTGGTGGTGGATGCCTGTAATCCCAGCTACTCAGGAGACTGAGGCAGGAGAATCGTTTTAATCCAGGAGGCAGAGGTTGCAGTGAGCTGAGATCGCGCCACTGCACTCCAGCCTGGGTGACAGAGTGAGACTCTGTCTCAAAAAACAAAAAACAAACAAACAAAAAATCATTTTTTCTTCGTTCACACTTCTACCCTGCCTGGAATAATTATTTCCTCCTCTATGCTCCCACAGTATTTTTCTAAACCGCATCATAACACTTTCTGAGCTCTACAGTAATTATTCTCATAGGTAATGCATTCTTGCCAGAGACTATGCACTACTGAGTGCAGGGAGGGTGCCTTTATCTTTCTGTGTCCAACGCCTAGCATCATGCCTGACACACTACTGACCCTCATTAAGTATTTGTGGAATGAATGAATGAATGTTGAAGCATGAAGGTGAAAATATTAGTTATTCTCATCAGGAACAACTGACCTATCATAAAACGGCTAGTACCACTGAATCCATCTAGGAGGGTAGAAGCAAAGAGCTTTCGATGTTACCTTTCCTAGGATACCAAAAGCCTTCAAAGGAACTCACTTTAAGTAGAAAAAAATGGCTGAAGCTAATGGAAATGGATCATGTGATGATTAATGAGGATGAACTCAATTATCTAAGCTATGATAAGCAAGTCTTTAAAATGGATCTCAATTTACTATAACTGTCAAAGCATCTGTCCAAATGTTCCTGGGGAAAGAATACAATTGTGCTGTTTTTGCTTGGAAACAATGAAGGGAAAAAAAAACCCAGCCAGTCACTTTTACTGCATTGTTATAGAACAGTTCCTTCAAAGACCTGTGATGATCTGAGCTGAGTATTAACACTTCATTCTGATTGACAAGACTTACCTCAGGAACTCTTTGCTCTGTTCCCACAGATCTTGGGTCTCTTCTTTAGACATGTGTTTGTCCAGGTTACATACATTAGGTTTCTGGGAATATAACTTAAGGCACTGTTTCACCCAGTGCCACTGGTAACCTGGGAGGAAGGGGTTTGGGATAAAAATAAACCCTATACAAAAGATGGGTGGGAAAAAAAGAAGAGGGGGAAATTCTCCATCAGTTATTCAAATAATTTTGACATCTTTATACTCACTATTTTGTTATTTACTCCCCATATTTTTTTGGTCATGCTTCAAGTTAATGAACAGGTAGGTTTTGATGAACATTAGACATCTACCCCTATGCAAATGTGTCTGGCTTTCTGGGTATTCTCAAGAGAAATAAATATTCCACAACAACTGTTATCCCAAAGCAAACTTTAGAATTGGAAGTGGTAAAAGTACACCTCTAATTTTTATCAGGTCTTGACACTTAGAGTCATCCGAGACTTCTTTACCTCCCTATTTCATTTATTACAGGCATGATTACACGAAATCTTATAATGAATTTTAGCTAAAACATAGATTTGAAAGTCATCGTCTAATGAATGGCGTGCTCATTATTGGTCTATTTTCTCTCAGTTTCAAATCCACTCTTCTATACTTAGCTTCATAATATGGGGCTGAGACCCTGCCAGCTACATTTCTTATTTGCCAGCTGGCTGTCTGCTAACCTGTGCCTATAAGGGTCACTAATGGAAGACTGGAGGGCGGAAGTTGGTTCTAATGTAGCTTTTCCACATCACTAGAATCAGCCTCATTATGTCCTCTCCTCAGAAGTCTAAGCCCCAGTTCCATGTAGTCCCTTTTCCAAGCTTCTCAATGTAGTAATCCCAAGCTCTTTTGTTGTTCTTCTCAGCTGCAGGGGTGACAGTTGCTTCCTGCAGTTACTGTCTCTGTAATATCTCAGTGTTTGCAAATTCCTGCAGTTAGTGTCTCTGTATTATCTCAGTGTTTGTAAACAATTACAGCATGTGTGTTAAAGATCTTTGTGACCTTGACAGCAACCTAACCTCATTTTTCTCTGTAAAAGATTAATAATAGGCCGGGCGTGGTGGCTCTCGCCTGTAATCCCAGCACTTTGGGAGGCTGAGGTGGGCGGATCACATGAGGTCAGGAGTTTGAGACCAGCCTCGCCAACATGGTGAAACCGTCTGTACTAAAATACAAAAATTAGTTGGGCGTGGTGGCACGCACCTGTAATCCCAGCTACTCAGGAGGCTGAGGCAGGAGAATCACTTGAACCCAGGAGGTGGAGGTTGTAGTGAGCCAAGATCACGTCACTGCACTCCAGCCTGGGCGACAGAGCCAGACTCTGTCTCAAAAACAAAAGATAAATAATAATATTTAACTGGAATCCTACGCATGGTAAAGATTCATTCATTCATCAAACACACAATATGTGCCAGGCACTTTCTTTCTTTCTTTTTTTGAGATGGGGGTCTCTCTCATCCTGTTGCCCAGGCTGGAGAACAGTGGTGTGATCCTGCTTCTCTGCAACCTCTGCCTCCCGGGTTCAAGTGATTCTCCTGCCTCAGTCTCCCAAGTAGCTGTGATTACAGGTGCCTGCCACTGTACCCAGCTAATTTTTTTTATTTTCAGTAGAGACGGGGTTTCACCATATTGGCCAGGCTGGTCTGTACTAGGCACTTTCTTAAGAATTAGAGGTCAGTGCCTGGGAGGTCTGGCATGAACAAGGTGAGCCGGGCCTGGTCTTGTCCTACCTGGGGCCTGCCTGGCCTGACCCTAGCCCTGGCCTTGCCCCAGCACCCCTGTCTCCCATGGGAGTGGCACTGCTGGCTGAGAGCATAGGCCTGGCTGTGACTGACTTCAAATTGGACATCACATGGCTCAGCTCATTGGCTGCGAGGGAGCTACCTGTGTAGCTGTACTAGCCAGGGACTTTACCCTCATGAGAGCTCTGTTCCTGTCACCAGTGGCTGTAGCTTCTGGTAGGAGAGAGTAGTATAGGCAGTATGCAGTCAGATAAAGACCAAATACGCTGACAGATGAGCAAAGATATCCTGCTGGTGGAGGGATACTCCTCTGAGGTCCAAATGGAAGTAGATGCAGATAGAAATGGTACTAAGATATTCAGGTATGCTTTTGACAAGCACTGAGGAAGAGGATTGGGAAGACTCCTTCATGAGTTGCTGTGGGAGCACAGAAGAGGCATGACCCCTGGGTTCCAGGCGGTACGTCTCAATGCCCTGACTGAGACAATTGCCTGGACAACCTGTAGCTGGTGCTGTGGGGCTGGTGGCCCAAAGCCAAAGAGACCTCCAGAAGAGGTAGCAAAGCTTGTACTGGTTTGCAATTCAGCAGCTTCCCATGGACCCCAAAGAAGAGCAGTGACCTGTCCTAACTGTGACCTGGTACTGTAACACCAATGGAGACGTGGTGGAAGAGTTGAATTCTTACACCTACTATAGCAGCATTACCCTTCCTGCACAGTGATTGAGAAGTAGCTCCAGGAGTTCAAAATCTGTGGGTGCTGCCAGGTGGCCCAGTACTGAGGCTCTGAGTGCCAGCAGGAGCGGGCTGGCCACCATGAAGCACTGTCAGGAGAGGAAGCACCCCTTCCAGCATGACCTCAGCTGGAGCAATGACGGGCAATGGAGCTGCACATGCTCGCAGTCCCTGGGCTCTACCTTGGACACAGCAGACAGACTGGTGGTTGAACTTGGAGGTGTTGAAAAAGCCAGCTGTGGGCCCAGAACAGCCACCAAGTGACTCTCGATGTCACTGGAAGTGTGTATGAAGATAGCGTCCCCTCCAGTCTTAATCTCCAGCAAAGACAACCGGGAGACTCTGGCCAGGATGTTTCTCATTATTTATACGTTAATAGGTTTGTAAATTCATGTGCAGGTTTTTTGGGAGGAGGCACTGAGTGGGGTAGAAATTACAAATAAAATCATTTGCTGTAATAAAAAAAAAAAAAAAAAAAAAGAATTAGAAGCCGGGCATGGTGGCCTGGCCGATGCCTGTAATCCTAGCACTTGAAAGGCCAAGGCAGGCAGATCACTTGAGCTCAGGAATTCGAGACCAGCCTGGGCAGCATGGTGAAACCCTGTCTCTACAAAAAATACAAAAATTAGCCAGGCGTGGTGGCATACGCAGGTAGTCCCAGCTATTTGGGAGGCTAAGGTGGGAGGATCGCTTGAACCCAGGAGGCACAGGTTGCAGTGAGCCAAGACTGCACCACTGTACTCCAGCCTGGGTGACAAAAACAGACTGCCTCAAAAGAAAAAAAAAGAATTAGAGATAAAGTGATAAAAAACCTTGTCTGGAGAGGGGGCAATAAAGACAAGTTAAACTCCTTTTTGTAAGACCAGCTATGAAAGAAAATAAAAGCTTAGGCATAGTCACAGAAAAATAGAGTTAAGAGGGTAGTTTTTGGTTTTTAAGGACTGGCAAGACCTAAGTATGCTTACAGATTGTGAAGAAAGAGCCAACAGGGAAGAGCCACTTGGAAACAGAAGAGAGGAAAGAAATAGAGCAAGGTCTTGAAAGCTGGAAGAGGTTTAAGAAGGTGAGATGGATCAAGAGGGTAGAGAGACTGGCTTTGAACTAAAGGAACTCCTCCTCTACGACTGGATGGTGGAAATGAGAACATTTGCTTATAAGTGTTGGGGGCATTGAAGGCTCAAAGGGTTTGTGCCTGAGGGACTCAGTTTTCCCAATAAGATAAATAGCAAGGTCATCTCAACAAAAGTGAGCATGGTTGGACAGGTCCTGAGGAACAAGAAGGAATCCAAGCAATGATATAAAAGCCAAGCATCATATATTAGTGTAATGTTCCCCTTGCAAAAGGATTTTAAAAACAGATGAACAGACTAAAGCTTAAGGATTTCTGAATTAAATGCTGGCAATAATTTGAAGGTCTTCTTCAGTTCCTGGTTGAACTCCAGATCTAGTCTAGACCAGAGGTCAGCAAATGTTTTCTGTCAAGAACTAGATAGTAAAGACTAGGCTTCGACAGTTATTTGGTCTCTTTATTTTTATTTTTTTGAGACAGAGTCTTGCTCTGTCACCCAGGCACAATCTTGGCTCACTGCCACCTCCACCTCCCTGGTTCAAGCGATTCTTCTGCCTCAGCCTCCTGAGTAGATGAGATTACAGGCTTGGACTACCATGCCTGGCTAATTTTTGTATTTTAATTTATTTTCTATTTTTATTTTTTAGTAGAGACGGCATTTTGCCATGTTGGCCAGGCTGGTCTTGAACTCCTGGCCTCAACTGATCTGCCCGCCTCGGCCTCCCAAAGTGCTGGGATTACAGGCCTGAGCCACTGCGCTTGCCCTTATTCGGTCTCTTTAGCACTCAATTCTGTCACTGTAGCCAGAAAGCAGCCATACATAGTAAGTAAACAAAAAGGTGTGGCTGTATTCCAATAAAATGTATTTACAATAAAACTGCAGTTTGCCAAGTCCTGGCGTAGACTATTAGCAATAACGACACATTTTATGGAAATATCCTTAGGGAGAATTACTATGGAAAGCAGACAGTAAAGACACTGAGCCGAGAGCCTAAAACAGAAACAACTTTGTTATTACTTAACTACTTTTCCTCTTTTCTCTTTGGCATATAATTTAGTCATAAATTAATGGAATAATGATAAAGTTTAATAACAGCAATTAACAATAAGTAAGTTTATTCCTAAGTCATTAATTATAGTAGCTGCTAAAAATAACTAGATGCCTACAAGTGTCAGACACTGTGCCAGCAACCTTATGCTATCTCATTAATCTTCAGTAACTCTATGAGGAAGTTATTAATCCAGTTTTGCAGATAAGAGAACAGAATTTCAGAGGGGTAACATGGCTTCACTGATTCATCCCTCTCTCCTGGCCCATCACAAGGCTAGCACACATTTGAGATAAGACAAACAAACAATCTGGGATACGACAAACAGAGTTGGATTTGCGGCCATGGAACAAGCAAAACCAGTAAGCCCACATAAGCAACAAACCTATGCTCTTTGCATTATAAATATTAGGTTCTGGCTGGGCGCGGTGGCTCATGCCTGTAATCCCAGCACTTTGGGAGGCAAGGAGGGCGGATCACGAGGTCAGGAGATCAAGACCATCCTGGCTAACACAATGAAACCCCGTCTCTACTAAAAAATACAAAAAATTAGCTGGGCGTGGTGGCGGGCGCCTGTAGTCTCAGCTACTTGGGAGGCTGAGGCAGGAGAATGGCATGAACCCGGGAGGTGGAGCTTGCAGTGAGCAGAGATCACACCACTGCACTCCAGCCTGGGCGACAAGCAAGACTCTGTCTCAAAAAATAAATAAATAAATAAAAATAAATAAATAAATACTAGGCTCTAACCAAACAAATCTCTGAACAATATCATCAATGGTCCACTATCAGAATTTCAAAGAGATTTAAAACCACATATGGTTCAGCTGAAAGGAGGTTATGCCATCGTAGAAATACACAGGAAATAACCTGAAGATTCCTCTACTGTACTAAATCTTACTAAAAGCACTTAAAATTCTATGTCTAGATTCTTGCAGATATAGAAAAAAACTAGATAGCTTAGAGATATTCAATGTGGACAGGTTCCTCATTGCAGTTGATTAATCCTGTTCCACCATTTAATATTATCAATAGCATATACTCCAAAGTAAACCTAATGACCAAAGTCAATGAGCTTTTGGCATCAAGGAAACCTCATACAGACAAAGTTTACCAGTAATCTGATTTTTCATATGTCTTCTAAAGTAGCTCCAAAATACATTTGGATTTTATGTTTCATTTATCAGTAAAATTCTCCAAATAGTTTGGGAGAATGATAGGATCATCAATATTATGGAAAAAGATAGGAAACCCCCCAACAACCTACCACCTGCTATCACCACAATTTCACGAAATAAAGAATATTATAATATTCCCAAACATATTAGACTAAAGGAATAATACTTCTGGTTTAGTCCAAGCTTGAATGGTGACAGGAAATTTAACATCTCTTTAGGCAGTCCATTTTAGACAACTGTTGTCTTCTTTTTAGTGGGTTAAAATCTGCCTCCTAGCCAGGCACAGTGGTTCAGGTCTGTAATCCCAGCACTCTGGGAGGCCGAGGCAGGGGGATCACTTGAGTCCAGGAGTTCCAGACTAGCCTGAGCAACATAGTGGGACCCCATCTCTACAAAAAATAAATAAAAAAAAAATTAGCTGGACATGGTGGTGCAAGCCAATGGTCCCAGCTACTAGGCAGGCTGAGGTGGGAGGAACCTTTAAGCCTGGGAGGTCAGGGCTGCAGTGAAGCGTGATTGTGCTACTGCACCCCACTGGGTGACAGAATGAGACCCTGTCTCAAGAAAACAAACAAAACCAAACTCTGCCCATCTTGCATCTACATGTTCTCCAGATTAAAAAAAAAATCTGCCTCTCTATAATTTTCAGTCATTGGTCTTGGGTTCTGACACCTAGAGCAACCCCAAATCATTTTTAAGTGCTTGATAAATGCACTGATCTAAGCAGTTAACATATACATTAACATTTAATCCTCATAAGAACCTTATGAAGTAGGTACTATTTTTATATACATTTTACATATGATGAAACTGAGGGCAAGAGAATTTAAAAACTTGCCCAAAGTCTTACAGTTAGTAGATGGCAGAGCCAGGATATGAACCCAGGTAACCTGGCACCAGAACCTACGCCTTAACCACTGGTGTGCACTGCTTCCCACCACTTCTTGTGCAGGACAATTTTTCAATGTTTAATGCTGTCAAGTTCCCCCATAAGTCTTTTCTTCCCTAGATTCTGTTTCTGGTTTCCAGGCCTATTATCCTCTTGTTCAAGAGGATGTGTCCTCACACAAGTGTGAGGACAGGTTGTAGTATACTCAGCTTCCTTCAGATTAAGTCAGATCCAGAAGTAAACACAATCCTTTTGATCAACTCAGAGTAAGAAGAGACTGTTCTCTCCTGTATTTTGGACATTATATTTCTATTAAATACAGCTTATAGGGGAAAGTAAGTAAAAAATAAATAAATAAAATAAACACAGCTTATAATGGCAAGAGAGACAGAATAAACTCTCCAAGGATATAATGGGACACCCACCCAAAAGATGTGGCTTAATTAAGCAGTAAATCCTAGAAAGCCTCAGAAAGCAAGTACAGCAGTTTAGACAATTTAAAACTCAAGTGGGGTTAAGTTTGTGGCATGAACAATCTGTTAAGGGGAGAAAGCCTAGAGCAACAGAGAATCATGGCCTTAAAAATAGGTACTAGAGGCCGGGCGTGGTGGCTCACGCCTGTAATCCCAGCACTCTGGGAGGTCAAGGCAGGTGGATCACCTGAGGTCAGGAGTTCAAGACCAGCCTGACCAACATGGTGAAACCCCATCTCTACTAAAAACACAAAAAAGTTAGCTGGGCGTGGTGGCGGGTGCCTGTAGTCCCAGCTACTTGGGAGGCTGAGAGAGGAGAATTGCTTGAACCTGGGAGGCAGAGGCTGCAGTGAGCGGAGATCACACCACTGCACTCCAGCCTAGGCGACAGAGCAAGACTCTGTCTCAAAATAAATAAATAAATAAATAAAAATAAGTGCTAGAGTTGAAAGGTGAGGAGCGGCCTCCAAGAACAAGACTATTGGTGATGCATGCTCTACATTTACCCAAACTCAAGAGGAGCCAGGCTGTTATATCTTCCCAAGCTATTAACAAGTATTTCGGTGGTCATAACGTATTAAGAGCTGTACCATAGAGTCCTGGCCATTGGCACAATGAAAACTAACATTTCTTTTTAAAGATTTCTCTTACTTTTAACCCATATTTGAAATCACAAGTGCAATGTTAACTTTTACAATGGCCCCAGGAGCCTAGAAAAAAGGTTAATAACATTACCTATTCTTCATTATTTTCTTAATTTCATTCTCTGTAAAAGCAGCTACCTAACATTACTAAATTTAAAATTGCAGACGAATCTATTCTGCAAAATGAGATGGGTCTCATTTTGTCACCCAGGCTGGAGTGCAGTGGCACGATCTCGGCTCACTGCACCCCAAGCAATCCTCCTACCTCAGTCTCCTGAGTAGCTGAGACTACAGAGGCATGCCACCACACTTGGCTAATTAAAAACATTTTTTTTGGCCAGGTGAGGTGTCTCACGCCTGTAATCCTAGCACTCTGGGAGACCGAGGCGGGTGGATCACTTGATGTCAGGAGTTCGAAACCAGCTTGGCCAACATGAAACCCTGTCTCTACTAAAAATACAAAAATTAGCTGGGCGTGGTGGCATATACCTGTAGTCTCAGCTACTCGGGAGGCAGAAGAATCACTTGAACCTGGCAGGCGGAGGTTGCAGTGAGCTGAGATTGTGCCACTGTACTCCAGCCTGGGCGACAGAGTGAGACTGTCTGGGAAAAAAAAATTTTGTTTTGTAGAGACAGGGTCTTACTATGTTACCCGGGCTGGTCGCAAATTCCTGGGCTCAAATGATCCTCCCACCTTGGCCTTCTAAAGTGTTGGGATTATAGGTGTGAGACACCTCGCCTGGTCCCTATTAGGACTTTCTTTTTTTTTTTTTTGAGATGGAGTCTTGCTCTATTGCCCAGGCTGGAGTGCAGTGGCACAATCTCGGCTCAACAAGCTCTGCCTCCCGGGATCATGCCATTCTCCCACCTCAGCCTGCCGAGTAGCTGGGACTACAGGGGCCCGCCACCATGCCCGGCTAATTTTGTTTTTGTATTTTCAGTAGAGATGGGGTTTCACCTTGTTAGCCAGGATGGTCTCAATCTCCTGACCTCGTGATCCGCCCGCCTCGGCCTCCCAAAGTGTTGGGATTACAGGCGTGAGCTACTGCGTCCAGCTTTTTTTTTTTTTTTTTTTTTGAGACAGAGTTTCCCCCTTATTGCCTAGGCTGGAGTGCAATGGCGCGATCTTGGCTCACTGAAACCTCCACCTCCTGGGTTCAAGCGATTCTCCTGTCTCAGCCTCCCAAGTAGCTGGGATTACAGGCACGCACCACCATGCCCAGCTAATTTTTGTATTTTTAGTAGAGACGGGATTTCACCATGTTGGCCAGGCTCGTCTTGACCTCCTGACCTCAGGTGATCCACCCACCTTGGCATCTCAAAGTTCTGGGATTACAGGCATGAGCCACCACGCCTGGCGAGGACTTTTGATGTCATTAATTGTAATTCTTTATTAAATATGTTCAGCCTTGATAGCAACAAGTTTTAAGTTGTTATGCCATTTGAGAATGTGACTAGAGGGACAATTATGAATTATTCATAACTATTATGACATTTATTACAATGATAATGATAAATTATTCTTCACAGCACTTCTGCCAAATCAGATGTTCAGAGTTGTGGCAGGGAGCCCAGAGGCAATGTCCTTATTTTTTCAATGGTCATGCCACTTTCAGCCACATTTGCAGGCACTGCTGACTCCTGTTCTATCCTTTCAAAACGGACGTCTTAGACAAGGTACAGTCTAGAATGGGTTTGGAAATGAAACATTTATCTGTTTATTATGTGTATCCTTTGTCTATTTACTTGCTCACACACAGTACCTTCTTTGAAGACATGAAGACATAAATGATTGAGTGATATTGCCTTCTCTGAGGTCAGTTACACTCACCAGGATAGCCTTTGAGTCCATAGGCTTGCCACTTGCTGACGGGCTGAAGACCTGCTCTATATGCATTCTGCTCACTGACAGAAGACACATTTAGCTGAGATTTGATCACCTGGCAGGAAGGAAACAGAAGTTAAAGGACTAAATCTATTTTGCAGGTCAACCCCGGGAACCTCAAACCTCCAAACACATTTCTTGTATGAGGCAAAGCTAGGATTCTTGTTTAAGATACAGAACCTTGCTCTATTGCTCAGGCGAGTGCAGAGGCATGATCATAGTTCACTGCAGCCTCAAGCTCCTGAACTCAAGTGATCCTCCTGTGTTGGCCTCCCAAAGCAATGGGATTAGAGGTATATGCCACTGTGCCTGGCCAAAGCAAGGAGTATTAACTCTGGGGTTAATCTTAGCTGTACTGCTTACTTGATCTGGGCATTTTAGATGAGTCATTTAATGTCTTAGAGCCTCAGTTTCTCATCTATATAGTAACAGTAGAGTCACCCAAAATTAAGGCAAAATGGTAATAAGAAAACTTAAGCAGGCTAATTTTGGCTTTCAAAACTACTTTTTCCTATGACATCATACCTTTCCAACTTCTTATGGGGCTGAATCATGAAAGGTGCTTGGTGTACTGAAATATCTTGAGTCACAAAGCTATTTACTTCAGTTAGGGCTAACAGTAATGCTTTTGAGACACTTGTATAGAGTTGGTATTTAAACAGAGCTATAAGGAACACCAAGCTGGACAGGGTGAGAAAATGAAAAGAGAAGGCCGGTCGCAGTGGCTCACGCCTGTAATCCCAGCACTTTGGGAGGCTGAGGCAGGCGGATCACGAGGTCAGGAGTCCGAGACCAACCTGGCCAACATGGTGAAACCCCGTCTCTACTAAAAATACAAAAATTAGTTGGGTGTAGTGGCGGGCGCCTGAAATCCCAGCTACGAGAGGCTGGGGCACCAGAATTGCTTCAACCTGGGAGGTGAAAGTTGCAGTGAGCTGAGATTGTGCCACTGTACTCCAGCCTAGGAACAGAGCAAGACTCCGTCTAAGAAAAAAAAAAAAAAAAAAAAAGAGAATGAAAAGAGAGTGCTGTAAACAGACAGAAAAAATGTTGCAGTGAGACACTGGGAATCCTGTCTGCTAAAAGTAAAAGCTAAAAAATCCTGTTTGCCCTCTTCTAGATGAAATGTCCAACTGACGCTACAACTTCTGCTTCTGTTAATTACTTAGAAATGAATTTAGTATTTCAGGGGCTGAAGTTTTCTTTGTATGTGAGTATCTAATGGATGGCTCATTACATTGGTTAAGAGACCCACTATGCAGTCATTGAAGTCAAAACATTAAAGGAAAAAACCTTTATTCTTCCCTGAATAGTAAACCTAGGGTCTGCCTTGCCTTAAAATATATGAAACAGGCCGAGCGGTGGCTCACACCTGTAATTCCAACACTTTGGGAAGCCAAGGCAGGTAGATCACCTGAGGTCAGGAGTTTGGGTCCAGACTGGCCAACATGGCGAAACCCCGTCTCTACTAAAAATACAAAAATTAGCCAGGCATGGTGGCGCGTGCCTGTAGTCCCAGCTACTTGGGAGGCTGAAGCAGAAGAATCATTTGAACCTAGGAGATGGAGGTTGCAGTGAGCCAAGATCACGCCACTGCACTTCAGCCTGGGTGACACAGTGAGACGCTGTCTCAGTAAAAAAAAGTATATATATTATATATACACACACATATATACACACACACATATATATATATATGAAACATTCTCTTTGAAAGAGAATGATCTTTTATCTTATCAACTTCTCCAAGTGTGGAGATTCCTGGACAAAATACCAAAAGTTTGCTGATGTATAACCAGTCTCTATAATAAAAGGGCTATATGAAACCCTCTGACAGTACTATCAGCTGAGTTTTCCAGGTACCTAGGCACTGGTAAAACACTTTTAAGCATTTTGTCATGATTTCTTTAATAGGCCATACTTAATACTGCACTATAATTCAACACACTCTCAGAGGTGATGTTAGTGGACCTATTCTATCATATGCTAAACTGAACGACACCACTGAGCTTTTATAAAAGGTTTTCTCTTTCCTCCCTTGCCAGACTGTTAACCACCACTTTCCCCACCAGTCTCATCAGCTGGCTTGTAATAGTAACTTCTCTTAATTACTACTTTAATCTGCTTTGAGCTGAGGAACTAAACACCCAAGCTTTCATGTACTCAACACATACTGTACTTAGTACTGTTTTAGGTCCTGTACTAGACACATAATGGCTCATTCCCTGATGGCTGACATTCTAAAAAGCATGTACATATTATGGTAAAATGTAGGTAAAAGGAGCTGAATGAGAGTCTGAAGCGCTCTGGAGAGAAAAAGTATATTATTATTGGGGTGTGGACTTTCTGTATTTTGACAACTCTAAGACCACTTTTTTTCCCTAACAAATGAAGGTGCTGAAAAGCTGAGCTCAAGTATGCAATCATTAACACTTAATACTGTAGCATCCCAATTTTATCAGAGCTGTTAGGAAGCTTGGAAAGAATGCCTCATCTAGACATCTGTGGACAACACCAAGAGCAAATTAAGGGACTGCATATCCTCAACGTTAAAGTGGATTGTAAAGAAAGAAAATATAAATTGGACTACAGTTTTGGTTCCCCGTTTTCCCTCTTGCCTGTTATGTTCCCTTAAAAAAATAATTTTTAAAAAATCTATTTACTTGAGAACAGGTTATGAGACTGGCTAATTTTTTGTATTTTTGGCGGAAACGGGGGTCTTGCCATGCCCCAGGCTGGTCTCGAACCCCTGGGTTCAAGCGATCCACCCGCCTCGGCCTCCGAAGTGCGGGATTACAGGCTTGAGCCACCGCTCCCGGACTGTGTTCCCCTTCTTAATCTCCATGGGGAAAAGCTGAGAGAGAGAACGGTGCCTGTATTCCATATATACTTGTTTGCCATTTATTTTCAACACGGAGGGATTCTCAGAATCCTTCAATGACCTCCTTCTAAAAGAGCCAGAGGAGAAGACAGGGACTAGTTTTACGCACAGTGGCTTAACAAACAGCGCCGCATCCCTGTCAGTTCTGGGATTCCTCGGGAGTGGTTTTTTTTAAGCTGCAGAAGTCTACCCTACCGTCTACAAAGACGTTCTATGGGGTTTTACAAAAACCCAAACAGAAATGTGAGGAGACAGTTACAGTAAGAAATAAACACGGATTCCCAGGCTCTTTTGACTGAGCGCCCCCGCCAGGAATGGCCGCCTAAAGAAACAGGCATCTCAACGCTTTATTGCTAAGTGTGACGGTTAGTGGGGAGTTCGACTCTGCAGCCAAAGGAGGTCAGGAATCGTTCAATAACAATCGGTCTGGAGGTGAAAAGAGGCGAAGAAGACACGTAAGTCCCTCCAAGACGCGGGGCAAAGCGATGGAGAGACGCGCGCCACTCCTCTCTCTGTACCTTTTGGGCACCAGGACCCTTGCCACGGGCTGCGTGGGCCGCCGAGAAGTCGATGACCCCTTCCAGGTCTGCGGTCCCGGGCCGGCTCTGACGGTAGAAGCGGAAAAGTTTCCGAAAGGCGTCCTCCCCGGGCTCAGTCGCCAGAGTCGCCACAGAGCCCACGGCCGCTGCCATCTTCCCCATCTCGCGGCCTATACCCTCTGATCCGGAAGCAGATTCTCTCGTGTTCCGGATCCGGAAATTTTTTCCGGGGCCGCGACCTCGGCTCGAGAAGGTGCTTTAGTCTGAAGATGGCGGCCTCAGCAGCGAGAGGTGCTGCGGCGCTGCGTAGAAGTATCAATCAGCCGGTTGCTTTTGTGAGAAGAATTCCTTGGACTGCGGCGTCGAGTGAGTGATGGAGATGTGGGAGTAGTGGAATTTTTAGGTCCAAGTGATCCTCAAAGCTTCTGCTTTTTGCAGGGTACTTAAGTCAGCGTGGTGGCTGAATTAGGAGACTGCTCCTGAGCATGCAAGTGAGCAGAAAGAAATTTTGTTTGCAGTTAACCGTTTAGGGATGTCCCTTGAGCTTTTGGGGTCACGAATGCACCGGCTCTTGCCTTTAGGAGTGATTTGGTGTAAAGATTTATTACTTGGTAACCAAGATTTACAATTTAGAAGGGATAATTTTGACTGTAGTGTGGAGGATGGATTCAAGGTGGCAAGATTGTAGGCGTGCAGAGGAGCTAAAAGGCAATTTCATTAATTTACTTAAAACGTGAGGACCTGAATTAGGGCGATGGTAGAAGGATGGTGGTCAGATGCATTAATGTTTTAAAAGCAAATTAGATGCCGTTTCGTGATGGCTTAAGTGGGAGAAGTGTACGGAATAAAGGAAAGGGAGAAATGATTTCTGGGTTTTTAGCATTGGTGAATTGTTTGTTTAGAAGTTAGGAGCAGGCCAAGAGAAGATGAGTAAAGTTTGAATGTGTTGACTTTGAGAAACTTGTGAGGTTTCCGTCAGGCAATTGGACAAAGGTTGTATATCATTGTGGCTGAGAAGTGGACTCCGAAGCTAGACCGTTGGGGTTAGAATTCCAACTTGGCCATTTAATCGTTGTTATCACTTGAATAACTGAAGTTAGTATGGGAAAAGGGCTCACAACTGGGCCTCAGTTTACTCATCGATAAAATGGAGTCAATAATACCCAACTCATAGGATTGTTGAGAGGATTGAGTTTATATGCAAACTTCTTAGACTTGTGTTAGATACAGTGTAAGTACTCAGCAAATGATAGTTATTTTCACGGTAACTAAAATTGAAACTTACGGGAGAGGCCTAGTCTACAGATAAAGGTTGGAATAATTAGTTCTGAAATCTTTCACCACCTTCAATTTTTGTCAGCTGCAGTTTTGAGATGAGGTTTTTATATTTGCTTACCAACATGTAAACATTCGTGGTCACTCTTTTTGTAGATATTCATGTTTCAGGTCAACCCCTGGAAACAAAATGGAGCAAGATTTAGTTTCTTCTAAGTTTTTAGTGGCTCAGATGTGAGTAGTAGAATGGGAAATAGGTTGGTTTGTGCCCCGTGTTTTAAACATGTGGTTGGTGAAGACCAAGCCCAGTAAAGTCTCCCGTAGTCCCTGTGAAACTTTATGGAAAGGCTGAGGAGTTTCATTAGCATCTTGCGGATGCAAGTTTCCAGACAATAAAGGGCTAGTTTAAAACCCTTAAAAAGAGTCAGCATTATGTACAGCTTCGAAACAGTTTCTCTTTGTTGTTCCATTGATTCAGCAAATATTTATTTGAGTATCTATTCTGTGGTAGGCATTGTTCTTGGTGCTTGCAGCTGTTTTTCCTTCACCATTTTAGGCAATTTAGGAAGAGGGTTACCTTCCAGAGCTGGTTTGTTTTGAAATCAGTGTCTTCTAGGACTTTAATTATCTGGTATAAAACATATGTTTAACATTATTTTGTTCTCCAGTATCATATTCTGTGAGACCTTGATCTTGCCAGTTGGTTTGACTTAACCATTAGAGCCCTTCAAAATTTAGTCTCTGTGGATTGTTGGAAGGATTAGTGGACTTTTACTTATTCATTTAGCCAATATTGAGGCCCTGCTGTTTATTGGTCACTGTAAACATAGTGGTTTATATGCTGAGGGAGCTTACAATTAGTGGTGGGGATGAAGAGACTTAGAACAAATATAGGCAATTGTTGAACCAGTGAGGTTTTGGTGAACTAGGAGAACTAAATAGATATTATAAAAAGTAAATCAGTGAAGTACAAGCACTGTAGTTCAGAAGAGAAACAGATCGTGTAGTTTTTAGTCTTTAAGATTATATACTCTAAATCTTTGAAGTCTCACAGGGCTGGTACATTGTCTTGTACTGTGATAGGAGCCCAATAAAGTAATACTCAGTGGATGTACTTGGTTTGGGTCTTGAAGGATAGTTATAGTGTTACAAGTTAGCCAGGGGGAGATAGGATTACCAACATATGGAGGGGAGAGAACAACATATGCAAAGAGGGTAACCCGCAGGACAGATAAAGATAATTCAATTAGTTGTACTAGAGAGTAACTAGGGGCTAGCAGTGGGAAATAAGGCAGGAAGGGTAGGTGAGGGCAACTCAACACATTTTACTAAATTGTGAAAGACCAGTAAGTTGGGATTTTATTTGGAAATCTTCAGTATACCGGGAAACACACTGGATTGTAATTTGTCTTTTTCTTCATTGTGATCTGCTCACAGGGATCATAGTCCACATAGCACAGTAACTGGTATGAAAACACTCGATATTTGCTGAGGATGGAGACTGCAGCCAACTCAACAACTTCTCTGTCCATCTCACCACCAAGTCTGGTACATTATGGCTTTATAGTCAGTACCATAGCTGCTTCCTAAATCTTAAGCCTTTAAGGAAATGCAAAGTAGTTCCTGTCCACAAGAAATCTGGTGACCCTGTCTTTCTACAGTCTAAGATAGAGAATCCAAAATATAGTAACTACTTTTAATGTTTTCTTCTGCCACACAGGTCAGCTGAAAGAACACTTTGCACAGTTCGGCCATGTCAGAAGGTGCATTTTACCTTTTGTAAGTATTAAGGAAAAGTAGGTGGGAGGTGGGGATGGCTAATGGGTACAAAAAAAATAGAATGAATAAGACCTATTTGATAGTACAACAGGGTGACTATGGTCAATAATAATTGTACATTTTAAAATAACTCAGAGTGTAATTGGATTATTTGTAACTCAAAGGATAAATGCCTGAGGGGATGGATACCCCATAAGTCAAAGGATAAATGCTTGAGGGGATAGATACCCCATGCTCCATGATGTGCTTAATTTACATTGCATGCCTATATCAAAACATCTCATGTACTCCATAATAAATATACATATTTATATATATAAATATATAAATATATACACCTAATAATATATAAATATATATAAATATATACCCAAATAAATATATACACCTACTATACACTCACAAAAATTGTTGAAAAAAAAGCTTAAAGTGTTTTAAAAAATTCTTATCTTGCAACAGGGTCTCGCTCTGTCCCCCTGCAGGGGTGCAGTGGCCTGATCTCACTGCAGCCTCTGCCTCCCAGGCTTAAGTGATCTTCCTGCCTTGGCCTCCTGAGTAGCTGGGACTATAGACATGTGCCACCATGCCCAGCTAACTTTTTTGGTATTTTTTAGTGGAGACAGGGTTTCGCCATACTGTCCAGACTGGAAAATTTTTTTAATTTTCATTTTCTTTAAGAGACAGGGTCTTGTTCTGTCACCCCAGGTGGAGTGCAGTGATGCAGTCATGGCTCACTGCAACCTCTGCCTCCCAGGCTTAGGTGATCCTCCCACCTCAGCCTCCTGAGTAGCTGGGACTACAGGCATGCACCACCACACCTGGGTAATTTTTGTATTTTTTGTAGAGATGGGGTTTCGCCATGTTGCTTATGCTGGTCTCGTCGAACTCCTGGGCTCAAGCTATCCGCACACCTCGGCCTCCCAAAATGTTGAGATTACAGGTGTGAGCCACTGTGCTGGCTTATTTTTGTGGAGATGGGGGTCTTGCCATGTTGCCCAGGCTGATCTTGAACTCCTGGCTTCAAGCAATCCTCCTGCATTGGCCTCCCAAAGTGCTGGGATTACAGGCGTGAGCCACTGTGCCCGGCCTACAGTCTTTATTGATTACATTTTGAGTGATACTTGATTAAAAAGTGAAAAAGCTTTATCATAGGTATTTGTGTTAGTTTTTTTATTGTTGTATAACAAAATACCACAAGCGTAATGGCTCAAAAACAACACATCTCTCACAGCTGAGCACAGTTTAGCTGGGTCCTCTCCTTAGGATCTCACATAGCTATATATTCCAGGTGTCAGCTGGGGCTGTGGTGTGTCTCATCAAAGGGTCAACTGGGGAAAAAGACTGACTTGCAAGCTCCCTCATGTGGTTGGCAAAATTCCTTTTTTTTTTTTTTTGAGATGGAGTCTTTCTCCCTTGCCTAAGCTGGAGTTGCAGTGGTGCAGTCTCAGCTTACTGCAACCTCTGCCTCCTGGGTTCAAGCCATTCTCCTGCCTCAGCCTCCTGAGTAGCTGGGACTACAGGCATGCGCCACCACGACCGGCTAATTTTTTTTTTTTTTTTTTTTTTGAGACGGAGTCTCACTCTGTGGCCTAGGCTGGAGTGCAGTGGCGCGATCTCGGCTCACCACAAGCTCTGCCTCCTGGGTTCACGCCATTCTCCTGCCTCAGCCTCCTGAGTAGCTGGGACTACAGGCGCCCGCCACTACGCCCGGCTAATTTTTTGTATTTTTAGTAGAGATGGAGTTTCGCTATGTTGGCCAGGCTGGTCTCGAACTCCTGACCTCAAGTGACCCGCCCGCCTGGGCTTCCCAAAATGCTGGGATTACAGGTGTGAGCCTTCATGCCCGGCCATAATTCATCTTTAACTGTAGGACTGAGGTCTGTTTTCTTGTTGACCTTTGGCTCTGAGTTGGGAGCTGCTCTCACCTAGGAACTCCCTGCAGTTCCTTGTTACCTAGTTTATCTGTAGGCTGTCTTACAATATGGCAGCTTGCTTCTTTAAAGCCAGCAAGGGCTTCTCCAGTCTGCTTAAGATGGCATCTTATACAGAACATAATCACAGGAGTGACATCCCATTACTTTCGCTGTATTCTTTTGGTTAGAAGCAAGTCAGGTTTCTCCTCCACCCAAGGAGGGGAGGAGATTATATAGGGTGTAACATGGGGAATGCATGGAGATCATGGGGCCCATCTTAGAATTCTGCCTACTACAGTATTCTAATAAGGACTTGAGATTTCTAATAATTGGCAGAGGATATTTTAAGTTTTATCTTCATTGAGTACCATTTTCTTTTTTAGATTTATAACTAATAAAACAATATTTTTATATTAATTACATTTCCTTTGCTTTCTTGTGAGGGTTTAGAAATCAGCCTATAAATTTATCCTGGGCTGTATTTTTCTGTGGGCTTTTTTAGGGTGTGATGTGAGTACATAGAGTTCACACACACTTCACTGAAACCCTTTTTTCCTTGCAGCACTGTAAGGGCTGTGGTAAAATAACAACATAAAGGAACTTAAATTCTTAATTCTTGGTTTAATGTTACTTGACTCCCAAAGACTAACAGATTAGTTATATATAGTGCCGGTGAAGGTGTAGGGAATCTGGCACTCAAGTTGTTGAGAAGTTCAACTGGTACCTTCAGTTCTGTTGTGTAGTTGGCAAAATACCAAAGTTAAGAATTTATATTTGCTTTGATCTAGCGGTTACTTTTCTAAGAATTTATCCTACAGAAATGTGTGGTCAAGAATATTCCAAAGCAGCATTATTTAATGTCAAGTAAGAAGAAGAAACTTAAATGTTCATCACTGGGATTGATTAGATATTAAGTCACTGATGCAATGGAATTTTATATAGTTGAATAGAAAAGTTGGGCACATGTATTATGGACATGAAATATTTTCTGTAAGTTTGAAAACTTCAATTTTTTCAAGAGCATTTAAATAAAAAGTTCCTTGCAAAAAAATGAATAGATTTTTATTGGTCCATAAATAAAATAGGACCTGCAAAGAATAGATCTTAGATTTAAATAAAAGGCGGCTTTGATGTTGGTAAAACAAAATAAAATATGACAAAAAAAATATTTTTTTGTTCCATTCATTGTACTCTAGTTGGAAATCCTGGTTCCTTTTTTGAGACAGGTTCTCTCTCTCACTCAGGCTGGAGTGCAGTGGCACAATCAAGTTCACTGCAGGCTTGAACTCCTGGGTTCAAGGGATCCTTCTGCCTCTGCCTCCTGAGTAGCTGGGATTAGTCGTGTGCCACCACACCTGACTAATTTTTTGTACTCTTTGTAGAAATGGGGCTTCACCATATTGCCCAGGCTGGTCTCGAGCTCCCGCACTCAAGCAGTCTACTCACCTCAGCTCCCAAAGTGCTGTGATTACAGGCATGAGCCACCACACCTGGACTGAGTTATTTTTTTTGAGACAGCCTTGCTCTGTCGCCCAGGCTGGAGTGCAGAGGCGTGATCTCAGCTCACTGCAATCGCTGCCTCCTGGGTTCAAGTGATCCCCCTTCCTCAGTCACCCAGATAGCTGGGACTACAGGCATGGGCCACCACACCCAGCTAATTTTTGTATTTTTAGTAGAGATGGAGTTTCACTATGTTGGCCAGGCTGGTCCCAAACTCCTGACCTCAAGCCATCCATCCACCTCAGCCTCCCAAAGTGCTGGGATTGAGCCACTGCACCTGGCCTATGTTTTAATATAAACAAATTTCTTAATGCCTTTGACTGTGGAAGTGGTCACATGACAATAAAGGAATGCTTTAGAAATTGTTGTATCTACAATGAATGGATCATTGGGACATCACCAGAAACTTTCCGTCTTCTAGGTTAATCCTTATAAAGTTATCCTTGAAGTAGAGGAGCAATTGTAAGATTTTGTTTTTTTTGGCAAAGCACAGCATGACTTGAATGAGACTAATGAGGACCAGTTTGTCATCTACAGGGACTAGACATCTTAATATCTGTTTTCTGTCGAAGGGCTGGAGGGGCAGGGTACATCCAAGCACTCTAGAATCTGTTTTCCGTATGCGATGTATAGGTTGAAACTTTTGCACAAGGGAAAATAGCAAAATTGTTTAAATTAACCAGAAGTCTGTAACTAGGTTGAGTAAGGGCTAAATATTATCTTTTCTTGTTTTTCATTAGGAACACGTGATGATAGTCGTGGTGGTGGTGAGGGTGACTGGATTCAGAAATGAGTGCAACAAGGCTTTGAGGCTTAATTTTCTAGTTTCTAGAAACGAAGCTTAGAACAAGAGTACTGATCAAAATTTCCCTTAGCTATTACTGTTAGTATGGTTTGCATCTAGAATGACACAGAAAGCTCATGACCCGTATCTTCTCTAATGGCAGCAAGGAAAACAGGAAGCTTAACAACACAGGGATTTAGCCTTGGGTAATCAGGAAGGGTGTAAAGCAAGGTTACTGACACTTATAAATGTCTGTGATCCGATTTTTGGCTGGGCATGGTGGCTTATGCCTGTAATTTCACTACTTTGGGAGGCCCAGATGGGAAGATTGCTTGAGCCCAGGAGTTTGAGACCGGCCTGGGTAAGATGGGAAGACCCCATCTCTGCAAAAAATATAAAAAATGAGGCAGACATGGTGGTATGTACCTGTGATCCCAGCTACTGAAGAGGCTGAGGTGGGAGGATTGCTTGAACCCAGGAAGTTGAGGCTGCAGTGAGTTGCGTTCATACCACTGCACCCCAGCCTGGGTGACAGAGCAAGACCCTGCCTAAAAATAAAATAAAATTAAATTAAAAAGTCCGATTTTTGGCAGATGAAAAAGTTGGTAGTTTGATTTGGAACTCATGGAAACTTTCTGAAGTTCATGATTAATCTTTTCCTATATTTTGAATTTTTAGGACAAGGAGACTGGCTTTCACAGAGGTTTGGGTTGGGTTCAGTTTTCTTCAGAAGAAGGACTTCGGAATGCACTACAACAGGAAAATCATATTATAGATGGAGTAAAGGTAAATTTATTTCTATGCCAGATACATACATGATATACATGTAGGTACTATTTAATTATGTATCAATTAAATAGATCATAAATGTGGAATGATGGGGACTTGGAGAGATTTGTAACTGAAGCTGCCTTAATGCTTGTTAAGAATGGTGGGGTGGAGGCTGGGCACGGTGGCTCACGCCTGTAATCCCAGCACTTTGGGAGGCCGAGGCGGGCGGATCACAAGGTCAGGAGATCGAGACCATCCTGGCTAACACGGTGAAACCCCGTCTCTACTAAAAATACAAAAAATTAGCCTGGCAAGGTGGCGGGCGCCTGTAGTCCCAGCTACTCGGGAGGCTGAGGCAGGAGAATGGCGTGAACCCCAGGGGGTGGAGCCTGCAGTGAGCCGAGATTGCGCCACTGCACTCCAGCCTGGGCGATAGCGAGACTCCATCTCAAACAAACAAACAAACAAAACAACAACAAAAAAAGAATGGTGCGGTGGTAGGCCAGGCGCAGTGGTTCATGCCTATAATCCCAGCACTTTGGGAGGCCGAGGCGGGGGGGATCACCAGAGGTCAGGAGTTTGAGACCAGCCTGACCAACATGGAGAAACCCCATCTCTACTAAAAATACAAAAAAAATTAGATGGGCGTGGTGGCACATGCCTGTAGTCCCAGCTACTCAGGAGACTGAGGCAGGAGAACCCAAGAGACAGAGGTTGCAGTGAACTAAAATCGCGCCATTGCACTCCAGCCTGGGCAACAAGAGCAAAACTCCATCTCAAAAAAAAAAAAAAAAAAAAAATGGGGGGTGGTAGAGTGCCCAGTTTTAAAAGGTCCAGGAAAGTACAAGATGACCCTTTAATGGGTAGCAAGATATGTAACACAGTGGACATAACAGTCTACTTTTCTTTTTTCTTTTTGAGAGTCTTGCTCTTGTTGCCCAGGCTAGAGTGCAATGGTGCAATCTTGGATCACTGCAACCTCCGCCTCCTGGGTTCAAGCGATTCTCCTGCCTCAACCTCCCGAGTAGCTGGGATTACAGGCATGCGCCACCACGCACTGCTAATTTTTTTTGTATTTTTAGTAGAGATTGGGTTTCATCATGTTGGTCAGGCTGGTCTCAAACTCCTGACCTCAGGCAATCCGCCCACCTCGGCCTCCCAAAGTGCTGGGATTACAGGCGTGAGCCACAGCGCCTGGCCAGCAGTCTGCTTTTCAGGTCAGGCAAGCTGGGGCTGAAATCTTGGCTTACCCACCATGTGATCCTGGGCCAAACTGATTTACTATTTTATTTTAAATTTTAGTTTTAATGAGACAGGGCCTTGCTATGTTGCAGGGTGGTGTTGAACTCCTGGCCTCAAGCAATCCTCTTGCCTCAGCTTGCCAAAATGCTGGCATTACAGGCCTGAGCCACTGCCCCTGGTCTGATTTACAATTTTTAATTGAGGGTTAGGGAGTCATAATACCAACAAAGATGGTAAAAGGAATTTGAGGAGAAAACGAAAGAACAAGGGACAAATAAAAACTGCCTGGGTTATTCATTATTCATACTGACTCCCTAATAAAGTGATTTTCAGTTTGAATGTTTTTGCAGACATTGCCTTTCCTCCCTTACAGTGCTTATTTTTTTAAGGTCCAGGTTCACACTAGAAGGCCAAAACTTCCGCAAACATCTGATGATGAAAAGAAAGATTTTTGAGACTGCAGCCTATTAATAAAGTTAACATAACTGAGAATTTTGTCTAAATGTTTTTATTTGAAACAAATAGTTGCACCAAGCAAGAGGTTACTTTGCCCACTCCAAATTAAAACAGAGCACAATAGGGGCAAAATTTATTTGGCAGGACAGTTCCAGTATGTGAACATCTTCCTCCTCACTGTGGTTGGGGTAACTTTACTCATATGCAGCTGTTCTTACACAAAACATTAACCCCAAACTACTAGTGTCACATAAAAGTAAGTGGTCTTGACTTTGTATGTGGGGCAGCATGTTCTATAAATGCTGAAAGGTGGGAGAAGCACAAACACAACCCACTCTTTAAAAAAAACTAAATAATTCAAAGTAGAATTTTCTATCCCCCCCATTTCTCCAGTAATAAAAAGTAGTGCTGGGATCTGGCACCCAGATTTGGTTTTTATCCTGACCATTTACAAAGTGTTCCCCCATATGACTTGCATCATTAGGGTTATGGGTAAGAGTTCATTCACTTTGGAGAGACCTGTGCCTATTCCTTCCTCCTCTTCTTGCCTTCATGCTCGTGTTCCTTGGGGCGGCTGCTATCTGAGGGTCTTTTAGAGCCACCATGCTGTTTGGCTTCTTCCAAAAACTTGTCCAAACCAAAAGGATCTTCCTCAAACTGCACTGGTCCTTCTCGGCCTCTCTGTCTACGGTCTGAACCAGAAAACTCCTTGTCGGGAACAAATCTAAGGAAAAGGAGAAAAAACTATGAACTACTTTGCTTTCACCAGTGTAAACACTGAAATTGAGTTGTATGGCTTGGCACCTGTTGGTCTTTATTCTGGCTTCTAGGTCATCACCATACATGTCCTTGTCCAGATTTTTACTGGGCCTATAAATACTCTGGGCCATATCTTTACCACCTCTCCAGGCTTGATCATAAACATTATAAATTTCATCTTCTCCACCTGCAAATCCACTGTCCATACCCTGTGGAAAAATGGATGACATTAAATAAAAGTGTAAACATTGTTTATCAAAAGCTGAATCATAACATGTTTACAGTAAACCCTTGCTAATGTACAGCTCACATTTTCAACAATCTGAACTGCAAATTAAAAAGTCTTCATTAAAAAACTGGTAGCACATGAACTTCATAACAACTTTGGATTCTTTTTTTTTTTTTTTTCAGACAGAGTCTCACTCTGTCACCCAGGCTGGAGTGCAGTGGTGTGATCTTGGCTCACTGCAGCCACCGCCTCCCAGTTCCAGTGATCCTCCTGCCTCCGCCTCCCAGGTAGCTGGGATTACAGGCATGTGCCACCACACCCAGCTAATTTTTGTATTTTTAGTAGAGACAGAGTTTCACCATGTTGGCCAGGCTGGTCCTGAACCCCTGACCTCAGGTGATCGCCTGCCTTGGTCTCACAAAGTGCTACATAGCTCACTGGAGCTGTGACCTCCCTGTGCTCAGGTGTTCCTCCCACCTCAGCCTCCCAAGTAGCTGGGAGTACAGGTGTGTGCCACCATGTCCAGCTAATTTTTTGTAGACAGGGTTTTGCCATATTGCCCAGGCCGGTCTTAAACTGGGTTCAAGCAATCTGCCTGCCTAGGTCTCACAAAGTGTTAGGATTACAGGCGTGAGCCACAGTGCCCAGCCAGAAATATTTTCATCACAATTTTTAAATGTTTTAAGCTTAAGCTTCTAACAGGTGATTATCTTGAAAATATTTACTTACGTGAAATTTCACCCCTAGATCCCTTTGCTCAGCTGGTAAGTTGCCATTGTATAGTGGTTAAGAAAGCTTTGAAATTGGCTGGGCACAGTGGCTCACGCCTGTAATCCCAGCACTTTGGGAGGCCAAGGCAGGAGGATCACGAGGTCAGGAGTTCAAGACCCGCTTGACCCAACGTGATGAAACCCTGTCTCTACTAAGGATACAAAAATTAGCCTGGCATGGTGGCACATGCCCTGTGATAATCCCAGCTACTCAGGAGGCTGAGGCAGGAGAATCCCTTGAACCTGGGAGGTGGAGGTTGCAGTGAGCCGAGATGGCACCACTGCACTCCAGCCTGGGCGACAGAGTGGGACTCCATATCAGAAAACAAAAACAAACAAAAAAAACTTTGAAATCAAGACACCCAGTTTGAATCTTAATTCCATCAGTCACAAGCTAAACCTGTGTTTCAATTTCCTCATCTATAACATAAGAGATAATAGTATTATTTCATAGGATTTTTGTAAGAATTGAGATAATAACAAGACTTAGAACAATGCCAAGAATATAAAATGCATCTAATAAATTATCACTTAGAAGAGCTTACTTAAAACCTCCAAGTCATAATTAAGTTTCCCACTCTACTTTCCAGTAGAACTTACACTTCTGTATTCTTGTGTGTGCGCATGCGCCCGCGTGTGTTTTCCCAGGCTTAAAGTGTCCTAGTTAGCTAATGGCAATTGGTACTAGAAATCAGATTTCCTGACAGCCAGCCTAGTACTTTAATCCCGTTTTACAGCTTCATTTTTAAAAGAATCCCAAATTGATATATTTCTATAGCATTAAAAGAAAAATCCAAAAATCAACAACAAAAAAACCCAAGAGGCACTTTTGTAGGACACTGACTCTTTTATTTTTTTGAGATAGAGTCTCAGTCACCCAGGCTAGAGTGCAGTGGCACAATCTTGGCTCACCAAGCAATTCTCGTGCCTCAGCCTCCCAAGTAGTGGGGATTACAGGCGTGCACCACCACACCTGGCTAGTTTTCGTATTTTTAGTAGAGATGGGGTTTCACCATGTTGGCCAGGCTGGTTGTGAACTCCTGACCTCAGGTGATCTGCCCGCTTCGGCCTCCAAATGTGTTGGGATTACAGGCAAAAGCCACCATGCCTGGCCTCCCTGGTTCTATTTTAGAAACAAAAGGTTGACATACCACAACACCAAGTTTTTAATCACCTAATTTCTTTCTTCTCCTAGTGTCTCAAATCTCAGCCCACTATAAGAAGTTAAAATCAGAACTGTTTCATCTTGTCTCAAGTTTCAACATACAACTTCCAATTTTTTTGTCATCATGCTGGCATTTACATCCAAATGTAAAGTATGTTAATTTTCGTTTCCCTGAGGATAGGTATTCACATCAACACACACAATATGCTGTTCCTAAACTTGTACCTTGGATTGGTTGAAGAGCCTTTGGTCATACTGAACTTCATTGGAAGTCCGAGGATTAGGAACACCGAGAGCAATAACTTCACTGATATCCCGATTTTCATTTCTCTGAAGTTTCGACCTATTTTGAAATACGACATCACTAACTGAAAACTCTTTATAGACAAGCTGAATATGTTCAATAGAAATACAACCAATCTCAGAAACAAAGGATGTGAATATGTCACATTCACATCTTGTGAACATATATTCCTTGATGATACATAATCAAGCTGGCAGCCCTTATAAAGCATTTCAGATTAGAGGGAGAGTTTTACAATTAGGACGTCCTGTTAGCTCAAAAGAACATCTAACAGATTCGTTGACATGGAATTCTTTAATATAAGCAATCACCTTACAACCATGCTGAGATATAAAATTGCTATGGTCTATATTTACTATCATTATATGATGGTTTGGGGGTTGGGGAAGTGGATACAATTTAGATGTAGCACACGAAACATTTTAAATAAGCTAGAAACAGCTCTTTTATCTAACCACATTTAGTAATTTTATCCCACTAGAATTTTGAGGAAAACATGTCAATGACTGAATTAGTATGATTTTTGACATTCAGATTAATTTGGTTTCCTGGCTGTTGCATTATATATGCAACCTACATCCCAATGAAACCATGGTAACTGTCATTACTTGTTTTACTAAAAACTCAGGTCACAAAATGATTTCTATAGGCTGTTTGATTTTCATCCAGTTACAATTTCACAGCTTTTCTATGTTGTCAATTCTGATAGCCACTTTACTCGTTTTGAGGGCCCAATTTATCCACAGAGCCATTGTAACTTTTACAACTTAGGAATTACTAACCAAGACTGTCATTAATTAAACACTTTCACACTTTGCTCCTCCTTCTACATGTACTTTACCCTCAACTCTCAAGAGTAAGAGTCTTTGCTTCTCCATGACATCATTTATCCAGGGAGATGAAATATGCCAATTAATACCAGCAGGAATCTTTTTCATGCTTATTTATTTTTATTTTTTTATTTTTTATTTTTTATGACACGGAGTCTCACTCTGTCGCCCAGGCTGGAATGCAGTGGCACGATCTTGGCTCCCTGAAACCTCCGCCTCCAGGGTTCAAGTGATTCTCCCACTTCGGCCTCTCGAGTAGCTGGGACTACCGGCATGTGCCACCACACCCAGCTAATTTTTGCATTTTTAGTAGAGATGGGGTTTCACCATGTTGGCCAGGCTGGTCTTGAACTCCTGACCTCAAGTGATTCGCGTGCTTTGGCCTGCCAAAGTGCTGGGATTACAGGTGTCAGCCACTGTGCCCGGCCTCTTTTTTGTGTTTAAAATATGACTTGAAAAATGTATTAGGCTCATGGGATGATCAGAGCACAGAAAACTGTTCATTTGGGAAGAAAATATTCTATATTTGCATTTAACCCTCACTCAGAATTCCACCTTAGTATTGCAGCGTTCCCTCTACTTTTCAGAACTTTTAGTCCTCAGCCTTTGGTGAGCCATAAACTTCCCCAATTCCTACTTTACTCTATGCCCTCATATATATATTTAGTTTGTTCTATACGTTTATACTTACTAAGAGTGCTTTGCAAATTTTCTCAAATTATTTTATGGATAGCTCTGTCTTTCTGAACTGTAAGTTAAACTACTCCTAAAAATGAGCTGATTTTCTACTTCTTTCAAAACTGCTCTTCTCCTCAATTGTACTAGATGCAGTACTATGCATATAAAATGATCTCAATAAAAGCATGAAAGCTTATTTCCTGTCTAAAGAGGCACATAATCCATTTATCTCACCATTTGAGGTAGAAAAAGAACGGACTATAACAGTCCAAATTTACTACTACATCCTTTTCAAAAATCTGATCTCGATTCCGTTTTCTATATTCCCATCATTCTCAATTCTGACTTAAGTGATGGAAGATTAATTCCAAAGACAGTCAACTAGAGCTAAGACAAAGTAGTTAAGTACAAGAAAATTAAGTGCTAATTTATTAAGTTATCAAACTAAAGAAGAAAGGGAGAGAAGCAAAACTGATCTTAGTGGACTAAAACTCTGCTCTAAAAGGTACAAAAAGGCCACTCTTCATGATTGGTACATATCTTTTTTTTTTTTTTTTTTTTTTGTGAGATGGAGTCTCGCTCTGTCGCCCAGGCTGGAATGCAGTGGCGTGATCTCGGCTCACTGCAAGCTCCACCTCCCGGGTTCACGCCATTCTCCTGCCTCAGCCTGCCAAGTAGCTGGGACTACAGGCGCCTGCCACGACCATGCCCGGCTAATTTTTTGTACTTTTAGTAGACACAGGGTTTCATCGTGTTAGCCAGGATGGTCTCGATCTCCTGACCTCGTGATCCGCCCGCATTGGCCTCCCAAAGTGCTGGGATTACAGGGGTGAACCACTGCGCCCGGCCACCATGATTGGTACACATCTTAAATAACACCTACCTCTTATCAGGAGCTGCCCTGGAAAGATTCCGGTCATGCTGTCTCTCTTTTCGCCTGTCATGCCGGATTTCATCCCTCTCACGTGCCTCCCCATCCTCTGTGTGAACAGTTGAAAAGTACTTCACTGTAATATGTATTATATGTGTGCATACGTGTACACGTGTGTATATATATAATTTTTTAAAAAGAGACAGCATCTCACTCTGTCACCCAGGCTGGAGTGTAGTAGCATGAACATGGTTCACTGCAGCCACTACCTCCTGGATTCAAGTGATCCTCCTGCCTCATCCTCCCGAGTACCTGGGACCACAGATGTGTGCCACCATGCCTGGCTAATTTTTAAATTTTTTGTAAAGATGGGGTCCCACTTATGTTGTCGAGGCTGGTCTCAAACTCCAGGCTCTAGTGATCTTCCCACCTAGGCCTCCCAAAGTGCTGGAGTCACAGGTGTGAGCCACTGCACTCAGCCCCATTAGTATTTTGTTTGTTTTGAGACGGAGTTTCGCTCTTGCTGCCCAGGCTGGAATGCAGTGGCGCGATCTCAGCTCACCGCAACCTCTGCCTCCCGGGTTCAAGCGATTCTCCTGCCTCAGCCTCCCAAGTAGCTGGGATTACAGGTGTGCACCACCATGCCGGGCTAATTTTTTATTTTTAGTAGAGATGGAGTTTCACCAAGCTAGTCTCAAACTCCTGACCTCAAGTGATCTGCCGCACCCAGCCAATATTCTGAACAAGAGAATATTTTTTAACCTTAGAAAATTCCAAACTTCTTTGTAGTCACACTCAGCCTTTTAAACCTTACTTGCAATTAATTTAAGTCTAATAAATGATATTAGTTTAATTTTTGAATGTGAATTCTAGAATCAAGCATGCGGCTAAAATATTTAAGGGTAAAATGTATTGCTGTCTTCAACTTACTTTGAAATGCAATGCAGTAAATCGGACAGACAGATGGACAGAAAGATGGGCAAATATGTGATAAAGCAAATTTATCAATGTTAATTGCTTTTAAAATTTATTTTTGATATATAATCATTATACATATTTATGGGGTATATATATTTGATACATGAACAAAATGTGTAATAATCAAATCAGGGTAATTAGGATATCCATCACCTCAAACATTTGTTTGTGTTGGGAACATTCTAAATCTTCTAGCTATTTTGCAATATACAATAAATTATCATTAACTATTCTTCTCTTCTAGCTATTTTGCAATATACAATAAATTATCACTAACTATTCACCCCACTGTACTAGGAACATTAGAACTTACTCTTTCTAACTGTATTTCTGTACCATCAACCAATCTCTCTTCATTCCCTGTCCCCAACATCCTTCCCAACCACTGGTAACCACCATTCTACTCTCTGCTTCCTTGAGACCAACTTTTTTAGCTCCCACATACAAGTGGGAAGATTCAGTATTCGTTTTTCTGTGCCGGGCTTATTCACTTAATAACCTTCAGTTCCATCCATATTGTTGCAAATTACATGATTTCATTCTTTTTTATGGCTGAGTAATATCCCATTGTGTATATAGACCACATTTTCTTTATCCATTCACCCACTGGACACAACTTGATTCCGTATCTTGGTAACTGTAAAGAGCACTGCAATAAACATGGAAGTGCAGATATCCCTTTTTGATTTGATATACTGATTTCCTTTTGGATATATACCCAGCAGTGAATTGCTGGATCACGTAGTGGCTCTATTTTCAGTTTTTTGAAGAACTGCCATACTGTTTTCCATAGTGGCTGTACTAATTTATATTCTTACTAAAAATGTACTAGTGTTCCCCCCCTTCTGTATCCTCGCCAGCATCTATTATTGCCTTTTTAATGATAGCCATTTTAACTGGAGTGACATAATATCTCACTGTGGTTTTGATTTGAATTTCCCTGATGATTAGTGATGCTGAACATTTTTTCATACACCTGTTGGCCATAAGTATGTCTTCTTTTGAGACCGTCTATTCAGATCATTTGCCCATTTTAAAATCAGATTATCTCGTTTCTTTGCGATTGAGTTCTTGTACATTCTGGTTATTAATTCTTTCTTAAATGGATATTTTGCAACCATTTTCTTCCATTCTGTAGGTGGCCTCTTCAGTCTGTTGACTGCTGTGCAGAAGCTTTTCAGCTTGACGCAATCCCATTTGTCTATATTTGCTTTTGCTGTCTGTGCTTTTGAGATTTTACCCAAAAAATCTTTGTCCAGACCAATGTCCTGAAGCATGTCCCCAGTGTTTTCATCTAGCAGTTTCATAGTTCAGGCCTTACATTTAAGTCTTTAATCCATTTTGATTTGATTCTTGTATGTGATAAGAAATAAGAGGTCTATTTTCATTCTTTTGCATGTGACTATTCGGTTTTCACAGCATTATGTATTGAAGAGACTATCCTTTCCCCAATGTATGCTTTGGGCATCAGCGTTAAAAATCCACGCATTGGCTGGGCATGGTGGTGGTTCATGCCTGTAACGCACTTTGGGAGGCTGAGGCGGGTGGATCACTTGAGGCCAGGAGGTTGAGACCACCCTGGGTGTAATGGCAAAACCCTGTCTCTAAAATAACACAAAAATTAGCCAGGCGTGGTGGTGCGTGCCTTAGTCCCAGTTACTTGGGAGGCCAAGGTGGGAGGATAGCTTGAGTCTGAGAGGCGGAGGTTGCAGTGAGCTAAGATTACACCACTGCACTCCAGGCTGGATGACAGAGTGAGACGTTGTCTCCAAACAATCAAAAATTCCATGCATTTATAGCCGATCCATTTATTTCTGGGTTCTCTATTCTGTTCCACTGGTCTATGTGTCTGTTTTTATGGCAGTACCATGCTGCTTTGGTTACTATAGCCTTGTAGTATATTTTGAAGCCAGGCAGTGTGATGCCTCCAGTTTTTTTTCTTTTTATTCAGGATTGCTTTGGTTATTTGGGGTCTTTTGTGGTTCCATACAAATTTTAGTATTGTTTTTTCTATTTCTTTGAAGAATGTCATTGGTATTTTGATAGGGATTGCATTGTGTCTAGAGCTAGCTTTGGGTAGTATGAACATTTTAACAATAATAATTTTTCCAATTCATGAGCATGGGCTATCTTTCCATTTTTAGAGTGTCTTCTACAATTTCTGTTTTTAAAATTTAATTTTTTTTCTTTTAAAAAGAGATAGGGTCTTACTGTGTTGCCCAGGGTGGTCTTGAACACCTGACCTCAAGTAATCCTTCTGCCTTGGCCTCCCAAAGTGTTGGGATTACAGGTGTGAGCCACCATGCCCAGCCTCTTCAATTACTTTCATCAGTCTTTTATCATTTTCTTTGTGGCGATCTTTCACTTCTTTGGTTAAGTTTATTCCTAGGAGGCTATGTGCAGTGACTCATGCCTGTAATACCAGCACTTTGGGAGGCTGAGGCAGGCAGATCACCTGAGGTCTGAGACCAGCCTGGCCAACGTGGTGAAACCCCATCTCTCCTAAAAATAAAAAAAATTAGCCAGGCGTGGTGGTGTGCGCCTGTTGTCCTAGCTACTCAGGAGGCGGAGACACAAGGATTGCTTGAGCCTGGGAAGCGGAGGTTGCAGTGTGCTGAGATCATGCCACTGCACTCCAGCCTGGGTGACAAGAGTGAGACTCCGTCTCAAAAAAAAAAAACCTTTATTCCTAGGTAGTTTTTGGTAGCTATTATAAATGGGACTGCCTTCTTGTTTTTCAGCTTGGGTATCCTATTTGTATATAGAAATGCTACAGATTTTTGTATGTTGGTTTTGTATCTTGTAATGTTACTGAATTCGTTTATCAGTTTTAAGTTTTTTGGTGGCATCATTAGGTTTTTCTAAATATAGGATCATACTGTCTCTGACAAAGTATAATTTGATGTCTTGTTTTTTTTTGTTTTTGAGATGAAGTCTTGCTTTGTTGCCCAGGCTGGAGTGCAGTGGCATGATCTCAGCTCGCTGTAACCTCTGCCTCCTGGGCTCAAGCAATTCTTGTGACTCAGCGTCCTGAGTAGCTGGGATTACAGGTGAACGCCATCATACCCAGCTAATTTTTGTATTTTTAGTACAGACGGGGTTTCATCATGTTGGCCAGGCTGGTCTTGAACTCCTGACCTCAAGTGATTGCCCATCTCAGCCTCCCAAAGTGCTGGGATTACAGGTGTGAGCCACTGTGCCTGGCCTTCCTTTCCAATCTGGATGCCCTTTATTTCTTTCTATTGCCTAAATTTCTCTGGCAAGGACTTCCAGTCCCATGTTGAGTTACAGTGGTGAAAGTGGGCATCCTTGCCTTCTTCCAGATCTCTGAGTAAAGACTTCCAATGTTTCTCCATTCAGTATGTCAGCTGTGGGTTTGTCATATATGGCCTTAAGTATTTTTAGTTATGTTCCTTCTAAGCCCACTTTGTTGAGAGTTTTTATCATGAAGGGATGTTGAATTTTTTCAAATGCTTTTTCAGTTTCTACTGAAATGATGCTATGGTTCTTATTCTTGGTTCTATTAATGTGATGTATCACATTTACTGATTTGCATATACTGAACCATCTTTGCATCCTTGGGATGAAGGATAGTTCAGTTGATTATGATGAATGATATTTTTTAATGTGTTGAAATCTGTTTGTTAGAATTTTGTTAAGGATTTTTGCATCTAAGATTATCAGGGATGTTAGCCTGTGGTTTTCTTTTTTGTTGTATATTTGTCTAGTTTTGGTGTCAGTATACTAATGACCTTGTAGAATGAATTTGGAAGCATTCCCTTCTCTTCAATTTTTTGGAATAGTCTGAGTAGAACTGGTATTTAGTTCTTTAAATGTTTGGAAAAATTCGGCAGTGAAGCTGTCAAATCCTGAGCTTTTCTTTCATGGGAGCAATGTTAATTGTTAAAAAAAAAAAAAAAATTAGTGTAGAATCTAGGTGGTAGGAGATACGGGTGTTCATCATATAATTCTTTCAGCTTTTCTGTATGTTTGAAAATGTTCATAATAAAATGTCAGGAAAGGCTGGGTGTGGTGGCTCATGCCTGTAATCCCAGCACTTTGAGAGGCTGAGGCAGGTGGATCACCTGAGGTCAGGAGTTTGAGACCAGCCTGGCCAATATGGTAAAACCCCATCTCTACTAATAATACAAAAAATTAGCTGGGCATGGTGATGGGCACCTTTAATCCCAGCTACTTGGAAGGCTTAGGCAGGAGAATTGCTTGAACCCAGGAGGCGGAGGTTGCAGTCAGCTGAGATTGCATCATTACACTTCAGCCTGGGCAACAAGAGCGAAACTCCGTTTCAAAAAAACCAAATAATAATAATAATAAAAAAGTCAGAAAAAAGGAATTATGCATAATGTTTCCCTTATATTTTCAAAGATTCTATTGAATAAAGAACTGTCAGCTTATTTCCCTTAGGGGCTGGCTGGATCTTGATTTCCACTGCATTTATATCTATCTTCATTTTTTTCTACCCTCGCCAGTCTGAGGGAATGGAGTACAGTTAAGAGCATAAGATTTGGAGCAAGCCTGTCTGGATTCAAATCCTGTTTCTATAGCCAATTAACCATGTGACCTGCGCAGATTACTTAATACTATAAGCCTTAGTTTCCTCCTCTGTAAAACAGTCACAATAATAGTATCACTACATAGGGTTATCCCAGGGATTATGAGATAATGCAAATAAAGTACTCAGAGTGGTGCCCACCATAAGAAGCACCTGATAAATGTTAGTTTTTACTACTATCTGGCAAGAGATTCATTAAAATTTTTAATTTCTTGAGAACGATTCTGTTGTCTTTTTCTTATTAGTTTAGAGAACTCAAATGCAGTAAGTTTTACTTCTAATTATCTTCTATGGTTAGGTATACAACCAGGCAGGTATTTATATCTCACCTTATTAAGTCATTCATATATAACTGAGGGAAGTGGATCACTACTTAAAACCCTGGTTATTTCCCTATGGTTGAACTCTAGACTCTTGTAACCAATTACCTGGCACCTCCATCTTAAACTTAACATATCCTTAACTATAATAAATTCTTCATCTTTCCCTCCCAAACCTGTTCCTCCTGCAGTCTTCCCAATATTAGTAAATAAAAGTAATATTTACTTTTATCCTGAGCAATTGGCAATTTAATCCTTCCCAACTGCTTAGGATAAAAGTTCTGGAGTCATCCTTAACTCCTACTTTTTTTCGTATCTCCACCTAATCCACAAACAAATTTTGTCAACTCTACTACCAAAATACATCCAATATGGGACCATGTTTTTGTTACCTCTTGTTACTATCTCTCTTACAGTTTATTTGGAAGGCATTAGCCCATGCCCATTCCACAGTATTCTATTTTTAACACAGCAGCCAGGGAGGTCTTTTAAAAATATATGTTAGGGGAAATGGTCATATGGTACAAAGTCTCATTTATGCAGGATGAGTAAGTTCTGGAGATCTAATATACTGTATGTTAACTATAGTTAACAGTACTGCATTGTATATTTGAAATTTGCCAAGAGAGTAGATCTTAAGTGTTCTCACCAAAAAATTTAAAAAGTAACTATAAGAGATGACTGGTAAGTTAATTAGCTTGGCAGTAGTGAATATTTCACAGTGTATATTAAAACATCATGTTGTATGTTTTATACAATTTTTATTTGCCAATTGTACCTCAATAAAGCTGGAAAACAGTATGTCAGGTCATTACTCTGCTCAAAACCCTGCAATTGCTTCCCTTTTCACTTGTAGTAAAAGCTTTATCTTTAGGTTAAAGGGCCATACATGATCTGGCCACTACTCTTCCCACCTGCCCTAACTATTCTGACACCTCATCTCCTACTTATCCCCTTCTTTCTCATACAAATCCAGTCATATTGGCCTGTCTGCTCTTCCTTGGGCCACACTAGGCATACTCCCATTTCAGAGCCATGTACTTGCTGGCCCTTCTGTGTGGGATGCTCTTCCCCCAGAAATCCACATGGTTTGCTTCCTTACTTTCTTCAAGTATTTCTGCTAACAGCACCATCTCAGAAGTGAGGGCTATTTGACCACTCTCACCTTCTGGCAATTTTATATCCTCTTTCCCTGTATTATTTTTCCTCCACAGCAATTATTACCTTTTACTATACTACATGATTAATTTCTGTCTGTCTACACTCACCAGAATGTTGACTGTTATATCCCATCCCCCTACCCACTGTCTAGCAAAAACACTTTGTGTCTAAAAGAGAACCTTGCACACAGCAGATGCTCAATATGAACTAAATAAATGAAAGAATGAATAAATGTACCAGGTAAGAATTTAGTAATGAAAAAAAAATAACCACCCTCACAAAATTTCTTGAATTATACTTAGGACTCGACTTCCCACTCTAATTGAATTAATACACCAATGTAGACCACTAAGTAAAGTCAGAGAGAAAATACTGGCAGATTTAATGATGAGAAATGCATTGGAGCCTACAAGATAGAAAAACTCTGGATTACTTCACCATATGAGGGAGCTGAATTATTCTGTTAGATACCTAATTTCTCTTAAGTTTTGAGATTAAGATAAGAGAAAATCAAGCCTATCATTTGAGTAATAATGCAATTTTGAAAAGTACACTGCTCAGAAGTTTAAAAATTTCTGGTACAGTCCCAAACTGAAGACCCACTTTTTTCTTATCTCCTGTTGCTTCAGCTTACTAAGGCAGAGATTACTCTCCATTTCTACACTATATCTGATGTATCTAAATTTTGTTTATATGTACCTACTTTATATGCAGTAGGAAAAAGATTTTCTAAAATAAGATATATTTTGTTCACCAAGCAAAATTCAATTCAGTAATGAGAATGTCATACCTTTTTCCACATGAGTTTTGATCCCAGCTCTTCTCTCCCTGGCTTTCTGGGCCATTTCTCTAAGTTTCTCTTCATGTTTTTCCTTTTCTTTCTGAGCCATTTTTCTCTCTACTTGGGCACGCATTTCCACAGCTTCACGAGCCTGTTGGTAAAGTCACATGTTAAACAGGACACTATCATGGGATAAATATTTATGGCTATCATCCAACTCCCTAACATCTGGCTGGTAAGAGCAATTATACAGAATTCAGATTTGTTATTGCTAATTAAAACAAAGAGTCTTGTCCACTAAAAGATATCCTGCCTGGAAGACACTGCAAGGTCAGCTTTTTTCTCTGGGAATATTTTAGTGATTGAAACTATCGTGACCCCAATTAATCTTGTAAGTCAAGTATTTCACTAATGCTTTCTCAGAAACAATCTAAAGAACAAAATTAAAGCCAGGCATAGTGGCTCTCTCCTGCAATCCTAGCACTTTGGGAGGCCAGGGTGGAAGGACTGCTTGAGCTCAGGAGCTTGGGACCAGCCTAGGCAACATAGTGAGATCCATCTCAAAAAAATAACATTTTCAAAATTAATAACACTTTCAAAGTTAATCAAGTCAACTCAAGATAAAATCTTAACTTACATCTGCTAGATAATTTTTATAAGGGTACTCACTGTGATACAAAAGACATTTTTTTTATGTTCCAAACACATGCTATGATGCATGTGAACTTCAATATCACATATTAATTCCATAATATTTATATTTACATATATTTTTTGAGATGAAGTGTCTTACTCTGCTGCCCAGGCTGAAGTGCAGTGGTGCGTTCTTGGCTCACTGCAACCTCCACCTCCTGGGTTCGAGAGATTCTCCTGCCTCAGCCTCCCAAGTAGCTAGGATTACAGGTGCATGCCACATCCAGCTAATGTTTGTATTTTTAGTAGAGATGGAGTTTCACCACATTGGTCAGGCTGGTCTTGAACTCTCAACCTCAAGGAATCCACCAGTCTTGGCCTCCCAAAATGCTGGGATTATACACATGAGCCATTGTGCCCAGCCTAATTCCATAATATTTAATACATTATGTAACATTAATAGATGGCCAATGCTATGAACGCCATTTTATGTACTATTCAATTCATTAGAATGTTTATCTGCCTTTTCCTGCAACTGCCCTTTTGGGGGACATCTACATCTAAAATAGAGGAAAATTTGAAATCAAAAATTATGAAACCTAGCAATCTTCAAAAAATGGGATCATCCTAGGAAACCATTATTCTGACATGTTGTGAGGGAGCCGGATCACCACTGTGGGGTGTATGTACACATCTACAAAAGCTGGGAGCATGCAGAGAGCTGCCAACTAGCAGCTGCCATTTCTGACACACGTACCATGGGTGAGACTCTCTTTGGGTGCTCGGTACTATAGTTAAATTATCAGTACCTTAGGTAACCAAGAATGGATTTTAAAAGTAACAAGAGCATTAAACAAATTATAACAAACCAACCTTCCGATCAGCAATGTAGAGGGCTTCTGCCAATTTGGCGAAATTTTCATTTATGTGTACTGTCTGTAGTCCTCTTCCATCAGCAGCCAGACGTTTGTCTAATGGAATTGTATAACCCTAGAGTGAAAGCAGACAGAAAACCCAGTCACAGAAGTGCTTCAATTAATCGTCTGAAGTTAAATTAATTTTATTTTTTTCGAGCTGGAGTCTTGCTCTGTCACCCTGGCTGGAGGGCAGGGGTGCCATCTCGGCTCACTGCAACCTCTGCCTCCTGGGTTCAAGCGAGTCTCCTACCTCAGCCTCCCGAGTAGCTGGGACCATAGGCGTGCGCCACACACTCGGCTAGTTTTTCTATTTTTAGTAGAGACGGAGTTTCACCATGTTGGCCAGGATGGTTTTGAATTCCTGACCTTGAGTGATCCGCCCTTGGCCTCCCAAAGTGCTGGGATTACAGGCATGAGCCATCGAGCCTGGCTAAAATTAAATTTAAATATGCCCACATTTTGAGAACCACTTAACTGGAGGTTCTTTTTCCTTGCATCTTTCTTCACAATGATGCAAAACAACAGCAGCTATCAATGAGTGCTTTATGTAGAAGATCAAGCACTTACACCTATGGTCTCATTTAACCTTCACGATAACTCTATAAAGCTTCTAACATTATTGTGTCCATTTCACTGATGCTTTGGTAACATCCCCAAGGTCATACAGTTAGTAAGTGGGCGATTAGGATTTAAACTCAGCAGGATTTCAGAACCCAAGCTCTGGAAAAATAGATATTTGTGTTAATAATTGTCGATTTTAATAAAAGGAAATCACTGTCAAACAGTTCAACAGTTGCTCCTCAAGTAAATTTAACAGTCAAACAAAGGTAGAATCACTATAATCTTAGCATCTATAGGAAGTTAAATCTGCTGTACTGTCTTAATGATCTGTTATATTCTTAGAATCCTGAAGTTTTAGTAAATAGAAAAAAAAGGCTGGGTGCAGTAGCTCAAGCCTGTAATCCCAACACTTTGGGAGGCCAAGGCAGGTGGATTGCTTGAGCCCAGGAGTTCAAGACCAGCCTGGCAACATGGTGAAACCCCGTCTCTACCAAAAATACAAAAAAGTAGCCAGGCATGGTGGGGCACACTTGTGGTCCCAACTACTCGGGAGGCTGAGGTGGGAGGATCGCCTGAGCCTGGGAGGTTGAGGCTGCAGTGAGCCATGATCATACCACTGTACTCCAGCCTGGGCAACAGAGCGAGACCGTCTCAAAAAAAAAAAAAAAAAAAAAAAAAACCAAAGAAAAAAGAAAAAAAAATGTTTGCTAAACAACTGAATTTCTACATTCTAAAACTTTGCATCCCATTTCAATAACTCAAGAACTGTACTTGAATGTCTATGTAACTTTCAGGCTTAGCTTTATTTTCCAGATATCTGACTAGTCTCTCAAATGTTGACTTTTAGTCCATGGTCTCATAATAAAATGAAGCATTATAGAACCAGCTCAAGATACCATCCAGTTACAAAATACCAATCAACTCAAATCAGACCAGTCGGCAACCTCTTTGTTTAGGGTGAGTATATAAATTCTCTTAAGAAACCTGAAATGGTCTTCTTTATCCATCAAAAATAAAATCATGAACTATGATTCAGGGAAGATGAAACAGTAACTAGCAAATCTATCCCACAATCTACAGATTCTTAACAACTCCTAGAAACTTTGGCAATTATTAGAGATATATAGCTTAAGCCTTCACTACTACAGAGCCCAGTAGTTGAATATTAAAGCACTTAAAGTATCCAAGCATTTACTCTGTTCTTTTGTCATATAATCTTTTACATCAGTTTACTTTCTTTTAGAAATAATTTTTAGATATAAATTTGAGTTTTCTAAATACCATCTTGTATTTATATGACACTTTATTCTACTTATTCCTTCTCTATGTGCTTCTGCTAGCTACAATTCACTAAAAGAACTGATATGGGGCCGGGTGCGGTGGCTCACACCTGCAATCTAAGCCCTTTGGGTGGCCGAGGCCGGCGGATCACAAGGTCGGGAGATCAAGACCAACCTGGCCAACAGGGTGAAACCCCGTTTCTACTAAAATACGAAAAATTAGCCGGACGTGGTGGCATGCGCCTGTAGTCCCAGCTACTCAGGAGGCTGAGGCAGGGCAATCGCTTCAACCTGGGAGGTGGAGGCTGCAGTGAGCTGAGATCATGCCACCGTACTCCAGCCTAGTGACAGAGCGAGACTCCGTCTCAAAAAAAAAAAAGGAACTGACACGGTATTCACGTGCCTGGCATACTAACATTTCTATTACATTAAAAAAGTCACCAAATTGGGCATTCCTTTTTGAAAATGCTCAGTTAAACCACGTGTTGTTTCAACTACAGTTATGCAGGCTGTAGTTGTTTTACTGGTGTTTTCCAGTAGGTTATACTAATAGAGACTGATTTGACAACTTAATTACCTTTGCATTTTTCCAGTTAGAAATACAAGGAGGAATCTTCCACTCTTGTTGTTCCTTTACAGTCATCTGAGAGAAGAGGGAAAGAAGAGACAAGTTTAGATTTATAGTCTACAAAGTAAATCTAAGTATAATCTTTATCTTCAAAGACAGCTCCATATACACTGACATATGCACAGCCGTAGTAAAAGGCCAGCAGTCCATTTGTTTGCTAGCACTAGTTTACCATATAATTCTAGTAATAACTTTGAACTAGTGTGAAAAATGGAAAATAATCTAGAAATTATTCTTGACAGTTATAAATGTTGGCTAGTATTTTTCCATATTTAAAGTGATGTGACTTTTTTCTTTTTTTTATTGAGACGGGGTTTCGCTTTTGTTGCCCAGGATGGAGTGCAATGGTGCAATCTTGGCTCACCACAACCTCCGCCTCCTGGGTTCAAGTGATTCTCCTGCCTCAGCCTCCCAAGTAGCTGGGATTATAGGCATGCGCCACCATGCCCAGCTAATTTTTTTTAAAGTAAAGACGGGGTTTCTCCATGTTGGTCAGGCCGGTCTTGAACTCCCGACTTCAGGTGATCTGCCCGCCTCGGCCTCCCAAAGTGCTGGGATTACAGGCGTGAGCCACCACGCCCGGCCGATGTGACTTCTTTTGGATGAAAAATTGTTCTTTTGATTAACAAAACATATCTTAAAAAGTCAAATTACCAGGGACCTAATGAACCCATATATTCACTTCCTATAACATCCTTAAACTGAAACAGCAGACCCTGTCCATTCCATTAAAAGTAGGGTTTGCATTACTAATAACAAAACTTACAGCTAACATGTTATATACATTCTCATAAGCATTCTTGAAACTTCATCTTGAAAAATAAAAAAAGAAACTACAAGTCAGTGTGGTGACATGCACCTGTATAGGCATAGGGAGGTTATCTATAAAATTAATAACCATGAGTAGAAAAAAATATTTTGGACTACAGCAAAGAATACCTTTCGGCTAGGAGAATGCATGACAGGCGCAGGAGGAGAAGGTGGTCCCCGGGGAATTTTCTTATTAATCCTGAAGTATAAAAACACAACCAGAGAGTGATATAGTTTCCTCCCTTTTAGTCATCATATCAAGTCTCTCCTCCTTTTTCTTGCATAAAAGTTTCAAACATAGACAAAAACAGAGACTGTATAATGATATACATTTACCACTCCACTTTGACAATGAATAAAACATGGCCAACTTTGAAACTGTTACTCACCCCACCTCCACAACATTATTGTCATTTTGCAGAGTAATATACTTTTTTCCACTTTAAAAAGCAGCTTTAGGTCGGGTGCAGTGGCTCATGCCTGTAATCCCAGCACTTTGGGAGGCCAAGGTGGGCAGATCGCCTGACGTCAGGAGATCGAGACCATCCTGGCTAACATGGTGAAACCCTGTCTCTACTAAAAATACAAAAACTTAGCTGGGCATTGTGGTACACGCCTGTAAACCCAGCTACTCAGGAGGCTGAGACAAGAGAATCGCTTGAACCCAGGAGGCAGAGGTTGCAGTGAGCTGAGATCATGCCACTGCACTCCAGCCTGGGTGACAGAGCGAGACTGTCTCTCAAAAAACAAAAACAAAAACAAAAACAAAAACAAAAAAAGGCAGCTTTATTGAGATAATTGACATTTATTAGCTATACATATTTAAAGCATACGATTTGATTAAATTTTGACACAAATATGCACCTGTGAAATCATCATCACAAGCAAGATAGTGAACATGTCTATCATCCCCAAAAGTTTCTGCTTGCCCCTTGCCTATTCCTCTTGTCCCTCCCATCTCCTCTCTGTCCCTACCTCCTTCCCCAGAGGCAACCACCTATCTACTTTCTGTAACTATAGGTTAGTTTGCATTTCCTGGAGTTTTAGATAAATGGAATCATACTGTATGTACTTGTTTTTGCCTGGCTTCTTTCACTCAGCATATTGTTTTGAGATTCATCCATGTTATTGTGTGTATTAGTAGCCTATTCCTTTTCACTTACTTGAACCTTGGAGGCTCCATTGGATCTTTCTGCATTTCTACCATCCGAATAACCCTCTGTTTAGCTCCAGAGTTGAATGCCACTCCTTGCTGAGATGGTGTGTATCTGAAGAAAGCAGATAAAAACTAAAGGTGTAATTAGTTCAAGCTTTCAGTAGGTATTTTCCTTCTATTACAATCTTAAGCTAGACTACATTTTCAATTCCTTTCGCAAAGTATTAACAGAAAATTAACAAAATATTTAGACAAAGCAGACAGCAAGAGGGATAAAAGAACATAAATTATGAGTTACAGTCAAAATATAAACTTGAGTGGTATTAGTTTGCAAATAACCCATCCTCATATGTTTTCCAACATGGAAGGTGCCGTGTTCAGTTTCACAGATAAGCAGTCTAGAAAATAGTACCTATTTAGTATGCCTGCATCTGAGGAAAAAACACTCATAATAATCCCAGCAGGCAACTTACGGTTAGCAGTTTTTGATTAATCATAGGTTATAAAACAGAGAAAAGAATAATGACAGCAGCCCTACCAGCTCTGAATTTTTCCTCAATATCTGTATGTGATTCAATTCTCTATGCAGATTTAGTCAAGTAAAACGCCTCAAAATTTAGAAGTATTATAAAGATATCTATTACTTATAAATGGAAAACTATAAATAATAATTGTGATTTAGGTCATATACCACAAGTAACTGTTAATTTCTAAAAACAAAAAATATAATTTGAAAATAGCATAGGGCCAGGCCGGGTGGCTCATGCCTGTAATCCCAGCACATTGGGAGGCCGAGGTGGGCAGATCATCTGAGGTCAGGAGTTTGAGACCAGCCTTGGCCAACGTGGTGAAACCCTGTCTCTACTAAAAATACAAAAATTAGCTGAGCATGGTGGTGCAAGCCTGTAATCCCAGCTACTCAGGAGGTTGAGGCAGGAGAATCGCTTGAACCCAGGAGGCAGAGGTTGCAGTGAGCCAAGATTGTGCCACTGCATTCCAGCCTGGGTGACAGAGTGAGACTCCATCTCAAAAAAAAAAAAAAAAAAAGAAAATAGCATAGGCTGGGCACAGTGGCTCACGCCTATAATCCCAGCACTTTGGGACCTGAGGAGGATGGATCATTTGAGTTCAGGAGTTCGAGACCAGCCTGGCCAACATGGTGAAACCCTGTCTCTACTAAAAAAAATACAAAAATTAGCCAGGTATGGTGGTGGGCACCTGTAATCCCAGCTACTCAGGAGGCTGAGGCAGAAGAATCTCTTGGGAGGCAGAGGTTACAGTGAGCCAAGATCACACCACTGCACTCCAGCCTGGGCAACAGAGCAAGATTCTGTCCCCCACCCCAAAAAAAAGCATAAAAAGAGGCCAAGTCTGGTGGCTCAAGTCTGTAATCTCAGCACTTTGGGATGACAAGGCAGGAGGACTGCTTGAGCCCAGGAGTTCGAAAACAGCCTGAGCATCACAGCGAGACCCTGTCTCTACAAAAAATTAAAATATTAGCCAGGCATGGTGGCATCAAGGCAGGAGGATCACCTGAGCCCAGGAGGTGGGGGCTGCAGTGAGCTGTGTTGGTGTCACCGTACTCCAGCCTGGGCAACACAGAAACTTTATCTCAGAAAACAAACAAAAACCAAAGTGGACACCTTAAAAAATTCTGCTTTCAATTGTCTGCAAAGACAGTAGACAGGCTTTGAGTCATTATTGAAAACAATGCATTTATAATGGTTGCTAAGTGGGTTAGTGAAAGAATACCATGACCCCCCAAGCTGAATCAAGTTCAGAATGAAACTAAGTCTTCTAGGCATGATTCATACCGGATATACTGAGCAGGAGCCAATTTGTCAGCTGCTCGAACTGGCATGGCTGCGGCGACCTTCTGTGATACAGATTTTTCTAAGGCTACTCTTGTCTTTTCTGTTATCTGAAATAGGAAATATCACATTGAGAGTTTGGAAGTTAATCAGGATGTAAATAGTCATCGAATATATCAATTCCCAGTTACCTCTTTAATAGCTTCTTCATCGGGCCTTTGCAGGTCTGGATCATCTGCATTCATAACCTCCTTTGGAACCAGGTCAGTGTATTTGCTATAAATGACCTAAAATGTTCAAACACAAGCAGGCTTAAGAAAAGCAAACAACGAAAAGAAACCTCATTAGCCATTTCAGATGTCAACATGCCCTCTCAGCACACTTAAAAATTTAGGACACTCAGATTTTCTCTTTTAGATTTTAAAACCAAGGAAGCTTAAAATATATAAACAAATTGCTACCCTGGCTGTAAGTTAGTAATTTTCCCTTGACCTCATGCATTTAAATTGTTTGAGATCTTCTAATCAAGTTAGTATCCAAATAAACCATGCCAACAAAATCATGCATTGATGATCACTATTTTTGAGGCCCACTAAAACTTGAAATTAATGATAATACAAATTGCCTATAGCACCATTAACCTGGATTACAAACTCATCAGAATTTAAGTCAGGTTACCAAATAATTTCCAAATTCACTGGGCCTGAAAAATTTTATTGACCTCATCCTATTTATAACGCTTCTCTTTTCTGCCATCAACTCTATTCACAGACTAAGAAAATAAACATGTGCCACAGTTAAAAAACCCAGAATGCTTTCTTCCATGAGAAGACAAAAGAAAAAAAAAAAGAAAAAGAAAAATATATTCTATATATACAACTTATTTTATATCCATTATCCAAATTGAGGCCTGTTATATGACTTCTACTATGCCCAACATGGTTTCTATTAGGCTGACACTGATGTGGTAGGCTCTTAACAAATAGAATACTGGTTACTTTCAGGTCCATCTATACTTCTTAAATATTTTCATAACAATTTACATGGCATATTTTAAAGTAAAAAAGAGATACAGAGGGGCCGGGCGCGGTGGCTCACGCCTGTAATCCCAGCACTTTGGGAGGCTGAGGTGGCTGGATCATGTGGTCAGGAGATCGAAACCATACTAGCTAACATGGTGAAACCCCGTCTCTACTAAAAATACAAAAAATTAGCCAGTTGTGGTGGCAGGCGCCTGTAGTCCCAGCTACTCGGGAGGCTGAGGCAGGAGAATGGCTTTAACCCGGGAGGAAGAGCTTGCAGTAAGCCAAGATTGCGTCACTGCACTCCAGCCTGGGTGACAGAGCAAGACACTGTATATTAAAAAAAAAAAAAAAAAAAAAAAGAGAGAGATACAGAAAATTCAATAAATAATAGGCATTCTACCTTTAATGCTTTAGTCAGAAATTCTTTGAGGTACATAAAAAGAAAGGACAACTTATAAATATCAAAGAAAATCAAATTCCTAGGCACTTGAGATCTCCAGAATTTTTTTTTGTAGAACTGTTTACCACTACAAGCCAAAGTCTTATATTAATAAGTCTATCATACATCATTCATTAAAAAAGTTTAAAGGAAATGCATGCTATTTCTAATTTTCTACTCCAAACAGAGCAAAAAAGTGTGAGCCACTTTATGGCTTATGCAACTTGACCTGACTTTGCCTATGCCTTCAATCTCCCCTTACAACTCTCACTCTCTCACTCATTATGCTTCAGTCACACTAGCTCATCTTCTGTTTCTTGAACATAACATACTTTTCCCCAATTCTAGGCCTTTACAGAGTTCTGTTTATCATTCTTCAAGTAAGCTCTCAATCTGTGTGTCTCAGATCAAAGGTCCTCCATTATCGAGGCTTCTTCTGATTGCCTTAGTAGTAACCCCTCCCCACCCAATCATTTGCTCCATAGCACTGTTTACTGTGATCAAGACTGTTCACAGCATGAAATTATCTACTTTACATGGTTATTATCTGTCTCCCGTATTAAAACAATAAAAACGGGGAGGGCACGGTGGCTCACGCCTGTAATCCCAGCACTTTGGGAGGCCGAGGTGGGTGGATCACCTGAGGTCAGGATTTCAAGACCAGCCTGACCAACATGGTGAAACCCCGTCTCTCCCAAAAACAGAAAAATTAACCAGGCATGGTGGTGGGTGCCTGTAATCTCAGCTACATGAGACGCTGAGGCAGGAGAATCGCTTGAACCCAGGAGACGGAGGTGACAGTGAGCCGAGATCATGCCATTGCACTCCAGCCTGAGCAACAAGAGTGAAACTGTCTCCAAAAAAAAAAAAAAAAAAAAAAGTGTCTCCTGTGCTTTATAATAATGACTGGAGATATTTGATCAATATTTTTTGTACAAATGAATAAATAAATGAATTTTAGAGATATTCTGTTACATGCTAAAGGTGTTTATAGGCCATGAACAGTGACTCACGCCTGTAATCACAGCATTTTGGAAGGCCAAGGTTGGAGGATAGCTTGAGCCCAGGAATTCGAGACCAGCCAGGGCAACATGGCAAGACCTATCTCTATTTTAAAGAATGGATGGATGAATGAATAAATAAATAAGTTTATATTTTAGGCCGTACAGAACTTTCTATAAGCTACTGATTTCCCAGAAAAAACTATCTCATGGCTATACACTAAAATCTCCAGCTTGTTTTTCTCAGGAGTGAGAAGAGGGATCAGGTAAGAAAGCCTAAGATGATTTAGCACAAAACACGTACTACTGATATGTGAGTTATTAGTGTCACCATACTCTAAGAGTGTTGATTTTGGAAGGGACCATAAAGCTCACTCTACTGAAAAGAGTGAGGTTCAGTACATTAAGATCATACAGCTACTATCTGACCTCAAAAGTCTTATTTCCTCTCAGCATGGAAAAACCTATACAACCCTAAGCTGAAAATTATATAACAACACAAGAAAAAAATACCAATTCTATGAAGAGTTAATCATGAGGAGTTTATCACTTCTCCATAGCAACGGTTATAAGGAAAGGATTCTAAGTAAATGGCTCCCTGGTAGTCATGTATGTTCAACATAAAGTGTCAATACTAATTTAGCATACAAGAGTCATTTGCTGCTCCTTATTTGGGCATTCCAAAGTTAATAACCCTTCAAATGAGCATCAATAAGATTCTAGTATCTCACAAGGCTGAGTGAAGGACATCTGAAGAGCAAGATTCCTCCATAGTAATTAATTATAAAACCCCCCATTTTTTTTTTTTTGAGACGAAGTCTTGCTCTTGTTGCCCAAGCTGGAGTGCAATGGCGTGATCTCAGCTCATAGCAACCTCCGCCTCCCGGGTTAAAACCATTCTCCTGCCTCAGCCTCCCTCCCAAGTTGCTGGGATTACAGGCGCATGACACCACGTCCAGCTAATTTTTGTATTTTTATTAGAGATGGGGTTTCACCATGTTGGCCAGGCTGGTCTCGATCTCCTGACCTCAGGCGATCCACCCGCCTCGGCCTCCCAAAGTGCTGGGATTACAGGCGTGAGCCACAGCACCTGGCCAAAACCCCAAATTTTTATAGTCTGAGAATTAAATGTGCTGAGGAAACTGAGTACCAGGAGGCAAATGGGCTGGGGAGCGTTTTCTGAAAAATACAATATACTCTTGAAAGTATCAGAAGCACAAATAAGCTTTGTCAACAAGATAAAGTAGTAACTCATCTGTGAAACAGATATTTTATTACAGAAAACTGGCAAAGAACTAGACTGACTAAAAGGATAAGCCTGTCAAAACATTCACTATGTGAGGTAGAAAGAAAACGCTAATCTAGCTTAGCTAGTGTGTGAAATCATACAAACAAGATAACATATAATTTATCATGGGGTCAGTTTAAAGTTGTTACGGTTTTTTAGGGGTAATACGTTGAAGGCATTCTTTTGGGTATAGTACGTGTGTAACATTTCGTTTCTTTAAGAGATAGGGTTTCATTATATTGCCCAGGCTAGTCTCAAACTCCTGGCCTCAAATGATCCTCCCACCTCAACCTTCCCAAAGTGCTGGGATTACAGGCATGAGCCAATGCACTTGGCCTGTATGTAGTATTTCTTACATAACTATTTCAGAGGGAAAAATACATACACCAAGCCCTTTATTTCAAGATTTATCACTTGGCTGGGTGTGGTGGCTCATGCCTGTAATCCCAGCACTTTAGGAGGCCGAGGTGGGTGGATCACCTGAGGTTGGGAGTTGGAGACTAGCCTGACCAACACGGAGAAACACTGTCTCTACCAAAAATACAAAATTAGTCAGGCGTGGTGGCACATGCCTGTAATCCCAGCTACTCAGGAGGCTGAGGCAGGAGAATCACTTGAACCCGGGAGGCAGAGGTTGCGGTGAGCTGAGATCGTGCCATTGCACCCCAGCCTGGGCAACAAGAGCAAAACTCCGTTTCAAAAAAAAAAAAAGATTTATCACTTTCATAATTAGGAAAAAAAAAGCATTTGGTTGTATCAAGATTTACACTAAAAAAAACTTTTTCATCCCCAATTTTGTATGACTAATAAGTCGTATACACAGTACTTACTTCACATGTAGAGAATTGCCTTAGACTTGTCCTAGAATATTACGTCTTAGAATCCTCACTGATTCTTCTCACCTCTTATACCTAACACCTAGTATTTTCCATTCTTACTCATTCACTATTAATATTTCAGTGAGAACTCCCTCGTTTCTGAAGAATACCAGACCTCTCGGAAGCAAATCAGAAATCTTAGTCCAAATTCATAAATCCAATAACCTGTTCAGTCTCTGGAATAACAAATTTTTTAAATCCTATTTTATATATTATGCAGTCCATTTCTATTTCTTCTAAAACAGGAAAATCAGTGATTGTCAAACAGGGCATCACTGCCACCTCTAACTCCTCTCTCCCAGTGCCTTTGTAAATGTGTGAGGTGTTTCTAGTTAAGACAATGGGGGTAGGATGGGGACGCTACTGGGATTTATAGGTAGTGCCACTTATGCTAAACATTGTACAATGCTGAAGATGGTCCTAAACAATCAAAGTGCTCCCCCAGTGCCAATGGCACATAATAGTTACTTGATTAATGTTGAATTACTCAATGCATTCCAAACTTCATGCATGAATCTATCCACTTCTAGAAAACAAACAAACAAAAAGATATAAACCTGAGAGTGGTCCCAGTTTGGGGTTTGTTTCTAGTGGCTGCATTACAGACAAAAGCAACGATCTGGCCGGGTGTAGTCGCTCATGCCTGTAATCCCATCACTTTGGGAGGTTGCAGTGAGCCAAGATCGTGCCACTGCATTTCAGCCTGGGTGACAGAGTGAGACTCCATCTCAAAAAAAAAAAAAAAGAAAAAAAGAAAATAGCATAGGCTGGGCACAGCGACTCACGCCTATAATCCCAGCACTTTGGGAAGCTGAGGAGGATGGATCATTTGAGGTCAGGAGTTTAAGACCAGCCTGGCCAACATGGTGAAACCCTGTTTCTACTAAAAATACAAAAAAATTAGCTGGGCATGGTGGTGTGCGCCTGTAATCCCAGCTACGTGGGATGGTGAGGCAGAAGAATCACTTAAACCTGGGAGGCAGAGGTTGCAGTGAGCCAAGATTGCACTCCAGCCTGGGCAACAGAGCAAGTCTCCATCTCAAAAAAAAAAAAAAAAAAAAGAAAAGTAAAGAAAAGAAAAGAAAAAAAAGAGAAAAAACAAGGAACAATGCTTTGGAGACCTTATTTGGCCAAGATACTAAACTCCAAAAATAGATAGTTCAGTCTGAACAGTTCTACTCTATTTTGAATACAAAATAATCACCAATACAGACAGTGATTTAAACATCATTCCCTAGAAATCAGATAAAACTCCTGCTTTCCAGTCTTGAAATATAATGCAAAACGGACCAAAGCTGTATTTCATTCAAAATAACACAACCTGCCAATGCCAAATTGTTGCCCTTAGATGTTGTTTTTTCCTACCAAATGGGACTGGAGAGGTAGCACATACCAATAAAGAAGAGTGATTACCCCCAAGGAGAAATGCACCAAAACAAAGGCAACTGAAGTCAAGTGAAGGCCTCCATGGTATAGAGTAAATTTCCAGTATATGTTCTCCATGTATAGGGGCCTAATTTTCCTTTTGCAGGAGTGGACTACACTTCCTCACTGGCTTCAGAAGTGGTTTTGTGTTATACAATGGAAACCACTATTATTTGCTGAACAAACACTGGTGGACGCCTTATGTGTCAAACTTTCAGGCAGTAAGTAAGGCACCAAAGACGGAAATATAAATATATAATCCCTGCCCTTAAAAACATTATAGTCAAATGATACAGATTATGAGTGAACAGATAATTACAACAAAAGGTGAAGACTGCTATGATAAACATTGAGAGTAGAGAAGAGGGACACTCAGTCTAGCCAGGGAAGGTCCAGGACAACACCCTGGAATAGTGAAGAGTGAGCTGAGAATGGAAAGCAATAGAATTAAGTCAGAGAATGAATAAGGGTAGAACTTTCTAGGAAAAAGAATATCCATGGGAAGTCTCAAGAGAGAATGTGTCATATTATGGGAACTACAAGTAGTTCCTCATGGCAAATATTTATAGGGAATGCTTGAATGTTTTTTCTTCTTGGCTGGGCACGGTGTCTCATGCCTGTAATCCCAGCACTTTGGGAGGCCAAGGCAGGTGGACTGCTTGAGGTCAGGAGTTCAAGACCAGCCTAACCAACAAGGTGAAACCCATCTCTACTAAAAAGACAAAAACGAGCTGGGCATGGTGGCGGGCGCCTGTAATCCCAGCTACTCAGAAGGCTGAGGCAGGAGAACTGCTTGAACTGGGAAGGCTGAGGTCGCAGTGAGCTGAGATTGCCCTACTGCACTCCAGCCTGGGGGACAAAGCAAGATTTGGTCTCAGAAAAAAAGTTTTTTTCTTCTTAACAACCACCTTGGCTAGGTGCAGTGGCACACAACTGTAATTCCAACACTCTGGGAGGCCAAAGCAGGCAGATCACTTGAGCTCAGGAGTTTGAGACCAGCCTGGGCAACAAGGTGAAACCCTGTCACTACAAAAAATACAAAAATTAGCCGGGCATGGTGGTGTGCACCTGTAGTCCCAACTCCTTAGAAAGCTGGGGTGAAAGGATCACTTGAGCTCAGGAGTTCAAGGCTGCAGCGAGTCGTTATTGTGCCACTGCACTCCAGCCTGGGTGACAGAGCAAGACTGTCTCGAAAACAAACAACAACACATATAATAGTATTTATTTTATAGTGAAAACAAACAGAATGGCTAAAACTGAACTATTTATTTTTGGATTTCAGTATTCCGATCAGGAGAGTTGAAGCTAGCCAAGAAAAGTGAGTAAGGGGTCAAGCATGCCATAGCAGCTTAGTCCTTACCCTAAAGACCATGGAAGCCATAGAAAGATTTTAATTGTGCACACTTGCGTGTATGTGTATATACATGATGAGAAAGACAAACAGACATGGATGAATTTGTTTGTTCATGCCAGCAAGACAAATGTCAATGAGATGGTTGCAGGCTTGGCTGCAGTAAATCAAGCAAGAAATGAAAACAGCCTGAACTAAGTAGCAGAGAGGGGAATATACTTGAGAAGTGTTAAGGAAATAAGATCGTTCACAGAGAATAAATAGATGGAAGGTCTGAGGGAAACAAGAACTAGAATAATTGCTGAGCAGAGAGAACATATGGGCAGTATGTGTCACATGTGAAATCTAAATAGCCTTTGAGCCAGTAAGTCCACACCTAAGAATTTAAACAAATAATCATGTTCAACAAGATGTTTGTATGTGGATCTTGAATACATTTGTTTGTAAAACTAAAAACCACCAATGCTTAAAAAAACTAGCAGATAACCATGCCACGGAATCCTATATAGATTAATAAAAAAAAATGAAGTAGACTTATATGTACTAACAAAAATTGTCAAATGTGTTAAGTAAAATAAAAAGCAAGTCAAAGGAAGTTATGGGCATCAAAATTCCATTCATGTAAACAACAGTTTCTAAGTTTGTATGTATACATAAAATGAGGATATACATAAATATCTAAATCCATAATAAAAATTTGGAATTATAGCTCCCCCTCCCCCTCCCCCCTTCTGTGCACGGTCTCCCTCTCCCTCTCCCTCTCCACGGTCTCCCTCTGATGCTGAGCCGAGGCTGGACTGTGCTGCCACCATCTCGGCTCACTGCAACCTCCCTGCCTGATTCTCCTGCCTCAGCCTGCCGAGTGCCTGGGATTGCAGGTGCGCGCCGCCACGCCTGACTGGTTTTCGTATTTTTTTGGTGGAGATGGGGTTTTGCTGTGTTGGCCGGGCTGGTCTCCAGCTCCTAACCGTGAGTGATCTGCCAGCCTCGGCCTCCCGAGGTGCCGGGATTGCAGACGGAGTCTCACTCACTCAGTGCTCAATGTTGCCCAGGCTGGAGTGCAGTGGCGTGATCTCGGCTCGCTACAACCTCCACCTCCCAGCCGCCTGCCTTGGCCTCCCAAAGTGCCGAGACTGCAGCCTCTGCCCGGCCGCCACCCTGTCTGGGAAGTGAGGAGCGTCTCTGCCAGGCCGCCCATCGTCTGGGATGTGAGGAGCCCCTCTGCCCGGCCGCCCAGTCTGGGAAGTGAGGAGCACCTCTTCCCGGCCGCCATCCCGTCTAGGAAGTGAGGAGCGTCTCTGCCCGGCCGCCCATCGTCTGAGATGTGGTGAGCGCCTCTGCCCCGCCGCCCGGTCTGGGATGTGAGGAGCACCTCTGCCCAGCCGGGACCCTGTCTGGGAGGTGAGGAGCGTCTCTGCCCGGCCACCCCGTCTGAGAAGGGAAGAGCCCCTCCGCCCGGCAGCCGTCCCATCTGGGAAGTGAGGAGCGACTCCGCCCGGCAGCCGCCCCGTCCAGGAGGGAGGTGCGGGGCAGCCCCCGCCCCGGCAGCCGCCCCGTCTGGGAGGGAGGTGGGGGCCAGCCCCTGCCTGGCCAGCCGCCCTGTCCGGGAGGTGGGGGGCGCCTCTGCCTGGCCGCCGCCCCATCCGGGAGGTGGGGGGCGCCTCTGCCCGGCCGCCCCGTCTGGGAGGTGAGGAGCCCCTCTGCCCAGAGGCCACCCCGTCTGGGAGGTGTACCCAACAGCTCATTGAGAACAGGCCATGATGACGATGGCGGTTTTGTCGAATGGAGAGGGGGGAAATGTGGGGAAAAGATAGATAAATCAGATTGTTGCTGTGTCTGTGTAGAGGGAAGTAGACGTAGGAGACTCCATTTTGTTCTGTACTAAGAAAAATTCTTCTGCCTTTGGATGCTGTTAATCATAACCTTACCCCTAACCCCATGCTCTCTGAAACATGTGCTGTGTCCACTCAGGGTTAAATGGATTAAGGGCGGTGCAAGATGTGCTTTGTTAAACAGATGCTTGAAGGCAGCATGCTTGTTAAGAGTCATCACCACTCCCTAATCTCAAGTACCCAGGGACACAAACACTGCGGAAGGCCGCAGGGTCCTCTGCCTAGGAAAACCAGAGACCCTTGTTCACTTGTTTATCTGCTGACCTTCCCTCCACTATTGTCCTATGACCCTGCCAAATCCCCCTCTCCGAGAAACACCCAAGAATGATCAATAAATACTAAAATAAATAAATAAATAAATAAAATATTTTAGGAAAAAAAAATTTGGAATTATATATATCACTGTAGTAACAGCAGTTACCTCTGGGAAGTAAAGTAGGAGAAAAGCGGGCAGGACTATATATACTTGTGATATATACTTATGGTATCTTTTACTATAATATATTATTTGTATAACTTTTTTTTTTATTTGAGACAGAGTCTTGCTCTGTCGCCCAGGCTGGAGTGCGGTGGTGCCGTCTTTAGCTCACTGCAAGCTCTGCCTCCCAGGTTCACGCCATTCTCCTGCCTCAGCCTCCCGAGTAGCTGGGACTACAGGTACCCGCCACCATGCCCAGCTAATTTTTTGTGTTTTTAGTAGAGACGGGGTTTCACTGTGTTAGCCAGGATGTTCTCAATCTCCTGACCTCGTGATCCACCCACCTCAGTCTCCCAAAGTGCTGGGATTACAGGTGTGAGCCACCACACCCAGCCTATTTGTATAATTTTTTTTAAAAAAATCAATATAATAGTAAGAAAAAATGACTCCCAGGCTTTCAGCATAAACAATTAGGAAAATATCACTACCACTTACTGAGTTACAGAAATAGCAGGTAGATTAAGTGGAAAATTATGTATTTAGGTTTGGATTTGATTAAGTAGCACTTTAGGGAAATCTAGATACACTTGCCCTTGTAGACAGTAAGATATAAGGACCTACAGCCCAGCAGAGAATACTGGGCTGGAAACACAGATTGAACAGTCATCAGCATATGAGTGGCAAATAAATTACATTAGTTAAAGAGAATGTGCTGTGTTTTTTGGTTAAAGTCACAGAATGATTAAAAGAAAAAAATATATAAAGAGAATGTGCTGTAAAAAAATGTGTTAAGAGACTTTTGCCAGAGAGCACCTCATCAAACTGGTTTAGGTGAGGTCATTTTGTAGTGAATTGAAGAGTGAAAGGAAAGTGAAGAAACAGGGCAAAAACAACTCCTGAAACAAGCCTGAAAAAAGTGAAGAAAATTAGGTGGTAGCTAGACAGAACACTGCGAGTAGGTACTCAGGGAAAAGCCTATCTTTCAAAAGATAAGAAAGGCCAGGCAGCCTCATGCCTGTAATCCCAGCACTTTGGGAGGCCGAGGTGGGCAGATCACGAGGTCAGGAGATCAAGACCATCCTGGCTAACATGGTGAAACCCCATCTCTACTAAAAATACAAAAAAATTCACCGGGCATGGTGGCAGGCGCCTGTAGTCCCAGCTACTCGGGGGGCTGACATACGATGATCGCCTGAGCCCAAGAGTTCAAGGTTGCAATGAATTATGAGGGTGCCAGGGCACTACAATCTAAAAAAGAATAAACAAACAAATGACAAGAAAAACAAGCACATTCAAATGCTAACAGGAAAGAGCCGTTAGAAGAGGAGGGATGAAGAACTGTTGAGAAGATTAACTAGTAGGTAAGGTTCATAGAGGAAGAGGGAAGGGATTGGGATCCAGAATACATATGGCAAGATCAGGTGTAGATCCAGGTGCAGTGGCTCACGCCTGTGATCCCAGCACTTTGGGTGGCAGAAGCAGGAGGATTGCTTGAGCCCAAAAGTTCAAGACCAGCTTGAGTAACATAGGGATATCCCACCTCTACAAAAAAATAATAAATTAGCCAGGCATGGTGGTGCACACCTGTGCTCTCAGCCACTCGAGAGGCTGAGGTGGGAGGAATGCTTGAGCCCAGGAGGTCGAGGCTTCAGTGAGCCATCATCGTGCCACTGCACTCCAGCCTGGGCAACAGAACAAGACCCTGTCTCAAAAAAACAAATAAAAAATAAAATAAAAAAAGATTAGGCTTAGACAGAAGAAGGCATTTCGTGCAAAAACAAAAGTAAAAGTCGAGGAAAAAGGACAAGTGCAGGATGAAGAAAATTGACAATTGTCTTCCAATAGTCTTTATATTCAAATAGATGGGGGAGTCACCTGCTAAGGATGAGATGGGATGAAAGGAGTAGGAATTAAAGTTTGGTGGGAGTACCAAGGGAGCTGAGCTGAAATAGGAGATATAAATCTGCATGATTGCATAATTGTCTTCCCCCAAAGCTCAGCAGCCATGATGCAGAAGCAAAGGATGGGTTGTTAGTGCTATTTTAGAGGGTAAATTGAAAAAGTTTGGCGGGGAGAGAGAGGCCAATGATAGGCACTGAAAGCTCTCAAGTATTTTTCCAAACATCATCAGTTCTAAGGAAATCTTTCACTTCTATCTTGAGTATTTATTTACAAGAAAAAAAAAAAACTAGGTCTTCTTAAAAATAGTTCCTTGGCCCTGAGTGTAGCTGTTCTGTGATGAGATTATTTTAAGCAAATTTTATTTTTGGCCTATGGATTACTTCGTAGCAGGGCCATCCTAAATCTGGATAGCAAATGCTAGTTTTGTACTTAATCTAGGGCAAAAGAAGTTTGTGTAATTTATTATACTCAAATAAACTATTAAATACTTGTAATAGAGTACATGTAAGTACTCTAAGTACATGGAGGAAATGAGTCAAGACTATAGGAAAAAACTAGAAGAAACTACAGGATAAATTAAAAGTTGATGGTAAGGCTCTGGGGTTGCAGATTTTTAAAAATTTACTGGCAGTTTTAGAATGCTAGTAATATAAAGTAACTGTTTTAAAATGTACTTTTTTCCCCCTTTAAAACAAGGTATTGCCACCCAAGCAAGAGTGCAGTGGCTCACTGTATCCTCAAACTCTTGGGCTCAGTCAAACCTCCTACCTCTGCCTCCCAAGTAGCTGGGAATATAGGTACGAGCCACCATGCCCAGCCACTGCTACTTTTAACATAATTCAAACAGCAAGAGATTTATCGTGTCCACAAAATTTAAAATGTTTCCTAAAATATTTATCATTCAGGGAAAACATGAGAGGATTACCTTGTCTTTTGACTGTCCTTGTCGAGCAATTGCATCATATTTAATTTTTCCTTCAGAATCCACCTGAATGGCCAGCGCATTCGACATTTTTTTCTTTCGTCCCATATCCAGTGGATACTGGGCCACATGGATCTCTGGAAAAGCACCTCCATCTCCAAAATCCTACACATTAGAAGTAGTTAAATAAAATAGTTAATCATCATTTGACATTCAAGATATATTCATTCATTCAACAAGTAATTGTTGAGTCCTTAGTATGCTAGATGCTAGAGATACAGCAGAGTTCCCTGCCTCTTGTGGAGTTTACATTCTAGTAGGCAAAGATATAAAAAACACATTCTTTGGCTTGTGATAAGTACCATGAAGGTAATATAAAAGAAAAAGACTGGGAAAAGGGGCTACTTTTGATAGGGTGGTTGGGGACAGCCTTTGTGAAGAAGTAACATGTGAGCTAAAGCCTGAATGATTAGAAAGCAGTCATGGGAAGACACACACACACACACACACACACACACACACACACACACCACACACACACACACACAAAGCATTTTCTAGATGGATCAAATAGCCAATGCAAAGGCCCTGCTGCAAGAATGAGCTTGGTATATTTTAGGAAATGAGAATTCAGTGGGGCTAACAGCTTAATAAGGACAGCAGAGCTTGAGGCACAAGTTACATGAGTAAAAAACACCAGATCACAAAGGGACTTACATGCTACAGCAAGAAAATGTGGATTTCATATATGCAGGACGAAACTAAGTAAAATGGCTAGGACAAGGCAAAATATATGTGTATATATTTTAGCATATAAATACATATTTTAGTGAGGAACAGGTAAAGCTATACTTGGGGCAGAAATATAAAAGATTTTTTCTTGGAATCAGATTTTATTAACATATTATTTATTCATTGTTATGTGAGAAGCAAATGAATACAATAGGAAGGATCCAGAAATGAGTTTACTACATTTCTACTAGTGATTATACATAATTATTTAGGAGAGAGAACTGAGACTGCTAAAGTAGAACAAGCTAAATAAAGTTTGCTGATGAAATGTAGTATTTTAAAAAGGTTTATCAAATAAACATGAGGATCAAGTATAATTTTTAAGTAGTTAAAAAAAATTCAGTAGTATTTGCTTAGTACACTTTAAACATGATTCACACATGTATTATCTCATTTAATCCTTGTAACTCTTTAACATCATTTTAAATGGAAACATTCAGGCTTAGAAAAATTAAGCGGTGTTCCTGAGATCTCATAGGTATTATATGCAGCACCTGAACCCAGATCTTTTGAGACTCCGAAAAGCTTTGTATTTTCTACTACTATGAAATACCTTTCTTTTAGCTCAAAACAGCCAAATGAGTACTATTAAGAAATAATAGAAAACACAAATTAAAATTAATCATTTAGAGGGGGTTTGATGGAAAAAAAAGAAAATATTCACTTTTACAAGACCTCTTTAAGTAATACTCCGTTAGATCTAAGATATATGAGTTCCTAAGTACAATATGCTTATTTGCTAAAGAGATGTTTGAAGTTTTTGAAAACCAAGAGAATAAAGCTGAGAGACATTTTCTTGTAAATGAGAAAGAGTTAAAGCATTCCTAAGATAAGTGCTTCCCGTACCCAAGCCATCAATCTGACACATGCTTGGATTTGCTAGAGTTTTTCAACTATAATAAGTACTTCAGAACTGTAGCTGTAGCATTATGTGGTCATTAAGCTTGCCAGAAAATCATAGCTTTTATTTTGAAAACTAGAACAAAATGCCTTCTTCCACAGAACATTCACTCCCCTCAAGCAGCATCCATAGCATTTCCAGATTAGCTAGCCATTTCAACTTGATTTTCAAATAAGTTGTTCTGTTTCACCAGGATATATGAAACCACTGATAGCCAAGTAAGAATCTAAAAATCTAATAGCAACCAAGTATCGTAATGCTGAAATGCATGGATGAGATTTACATTCTATGTAAGATGATGCCTGTCACCCTCATTGTGCAATGTACTGACAGACCAAACAATATTTATAATGCCTCAACAGAGACACTCAACTGCTCTATTAGATGATGCCAATCACTACTTTTTTGCCCCAGGTAAGACTCCTTGATAATCTTTCATCTTCCTCTGCCTCCCATAAATAACACTATCAGAGAGAACAAAAGCAACAAAAATCCCTTAATAATTGCAATATGACTGGCCTTCACACACCAGCATTCATAAGGACCAGAGGAAAGCTGACAAAAAAGCAACAAAAAGACCTACATGTGGGTTTTTTGGAATACATAGGACAAGATATGATCTAGTTGGGTGTTCCTCTTATAAACTCTAATAAAGAGTGTGGGGCAGGCGCGGTGGCTCACACCTGTAATCCCAGCACTTTAGGAGGCCGAGGCAGGTGGATCACCTGAAGTCAGGAGTTCAAGACCAGCCTAGCAAACATGGTGAAACCCTGTCTGTACTAAAAATACAAAAAATTAGCTGGATGTGGTGGCACGTGCCTGTAATCCTGGCTACTTGGGAGGCTGAGGCAGGAGAATCGCTTGAACCCAGGAGGCGAAGGCTGCAGTGAGCCAAGATCGCACCACTGCACTCCAGCCTGGGAAACGGAGCGAGATTCCATCCCAAAAATAAAAAAAATAAAAATTAATTAATTAATGTAAAGGATCCTGAGTAATTAGAATAGGTGCTGCCAAGGAAGCTTGTTCTTTTTATTTTTATTTTTTATTTTTTTTGAGATGGAGTTTTGCTGTTGTTGCCCAGGCTGGAGTGCAATGGTGCGATCTTGGCTCACCACAACCTCTGCCTCCCAGGTTCAAGCAATTCTCCCGCCTCAGCCTCCGGAGTAGCTGGGATTACAGGCATGCGCCACCACACCTGGCTAATTTTGTATTTTTAGTAGAGACAGGGTTGCTCCATGTTGGTCAGGCTGGTCTCGAACTCCTGGCCTCAGGTGATCTGCCCGCCTTGGCCTCCCAAAGTGCTGGGATTACAGGTGTGAGCCACTGCGCCCGACCGGAAGCTTGTTATTTGGCAACAAGCTAGAGATAGAAAGAGCTATTCCAGATGGTTCCTTCTCCCTCATTGCCTTCAAATCAACCAAATTTTGTCTTATACCCGCAAAAATATATTTAATCTATATATCAGATATATATTAACATTCTCAAATTAAAGGTAAGAAAACAGGTGAAGAGAAAGAAATCAGCAAAGGAAGTGCTACTGGAGTTTTCCCTGAAGGAAAGTTGTCTCTTCAGGGTTATGTGGTATTATCGGAGGGGAGGAGGAGGAGGAGGAGCCCAAATATGAAAACCACTTTCATCTCTCTTATCTTTTACTTTCCCATTATTTTCCGTAATTCCTGAATTTATAAAATATTAGTTTTCTTGTAAATATTTAATAGTTTGATATAGGAATAGACAAATGGTACAGTTCTCTAGTGACCACAAAGCAGTGATAGATAATAAGCAAAAAGAAAATGATACATCTTCTGAGGGAAATATACATCTTGAGAGCACATAACCAGAATTTCTATCACACTGACATTCATAATCAGAGGTTCTAACATTTAAATTTATGTTATAGTGTGCTATAATAAATTTCAGCACAATTTAACAAATCTAAACTTAAGATCTATATGTACCTCTAATAACCGAGGTATCCAGCCTTTCCGGTATCCGTACGGGGGAGGTTCTCTTCGGGAGGAGACCAGTGAGGTCTGCCGTGATCTCTGGGATCTTGCCTTTTCTTCAGCCTCAAGCTGGTCCTGAGATAGCTGAGTAGGTGCAGGTAAAAAGCTATAAGCAAAGATAATAAAAGTCAGAAATTTAAAAAACTCTTATGTTTAATTTGACCACTGCAACTTGGCCACAGAGACAATTTTTCCTACGATGCTTTTACTTTTCAGAAAAAGAGCAGATTTTTCAATGATTTATGGTAGTACTCAATACTAGCCATTTTATAATATGTGGAAGACAGAAGTACTCAAAGATACACAGTAAAAACATCTGACTAGGACAACAGCAAATGATGTCCAGAATAAAAAATTAACAGATATTTCACATAACAGACAAACTCTTAAGCGTTTATGCTTCCATATTTCCTTTTTTTTTTGAGAAAGAGTCTCACTCTGTTGCCCAGGCTGGAGTACAGTGGTGTCATCTCCACTCACTGCAACCTCTGCCTCCTGGGTTCAAGTGATTTTCCTCCCTCAGCCTCCCAAGTAGCTGGGATTACAAGCATGCGCCACCACACCAGGCTAATTTTTGCAATTTTAGTAGAGATGGGGTTTCACCATGTTGGCCAGGCTGGTCTTGAACTTGACCTCAAGTGATCCGCTGACCTTGGCCTCCCAAAGTGCTGGAATTACAGACGTGTGCCACCACACCTGGCCATGCTTCCGTATTTCCATATTTCTTTCCTTTTTTTTTTTTGAGACAGAGTCTCTCTGTGTCACCTAGGCTAGAGTGCAGTGGCACCATCTCAGCTCACTGCAGCCTCCACCTCCTGGGTTCAAGTGATTTTCCTGCCTCACCCTCCCAAGTAGCTGGGATTACAGATGTGCAGCACCACGCCCACCTAATTTTTGTATTTTTAGTAGAGACAGGGTTTCGCCATGTTGGCCAGGCTGGTCTCGAACTCCCGACCGCAGGTGATGTGCCCGCCCCGGCCTCCCAAAGTGCTAGGATTACAGGTGTGAACCACCACGCCCAGCCTGTTTCCATATTTCTTATAACAAACAAGTAAACATTCCTAATACTTCAGGGATAAACTGTCCAGTATATACTTGCTATTCTTATACTCCTTTTTTTTTTTGAGACAGAGTCTCGTTCTGTCGCCCAGCCTTGAGTGCAGTGGTGCAACCTCGGCTCACTGAAACCTCTGTCGCCTGGATTCGTGTGATTCTCATGCCTCAGCCTCCCGAGTAGCTGGGATTACAGGTGCATGCCACCACATCCCTATTTTTTGTATTTTTAGTAGAGACTGGTTTTTGCCATGTTGGCCCATGTTGGTCAGGCTGGTCTCGAACTCCTGACCTCAAGTGATCCATCAGCCTCCATCTCCCAAAGTACTGGGATTACTGGCATGAGCCACCACGCCTGGCTACTCCTTGTTTTTAACATTTTTACCATTATGCTCCTTACTTTAAACTACTTCAGTGTAAATACAAAAGAACTAGGATTAAAACTGAATGTAAAAAAGAGGTGGATAAAATAAACACAAGTTGCATATTTAAGTGTCAAGGGTATCTACAATGAAATTTAAAACTTAGAGGCCAGGCCAGCCATGGTGGCTCACACCTGTAATCCCAGCACTTTGGGAGGCCGAGGTGGGTGGATCACTTGAGGTCAGGAGATCAAGACCGGCCTGATCAACATGGTGAAACCCTGTCTCTACTAAAAATACAAAATTAGCCAGGCGTGCTGGTGTGCGCCTGTAATCCCACTCGGGAGGCTGAGGCAGGAGAATCACTTGAATCCGGTAGGTGGAGGGTACAGTGAGCCAAGATTGCACCATTGCACTCCAGCCTAGGCAACAACAGCAAAACTCCATCTCAAACAAACAAACAACAACAAAAAAACCCTTAGAGGCCAAAGAATCAAAGCAGAAGCCCTGAAGATGCAGCTTATTCTTTAGTCAAGGTAACCTTTCTACTAAATGGTTCTTAACAACTTTTAAGTATTAAAGTATTACAGTGATACTCCAAAGTATTACAAAAGGATCCTGATGGATGAATATGGAGAAAATAACCTTAGTTCCTTTGTGATTCTTGGATAGTAAGCATACCTAAGTAGCAGAGCTTATTAATTATTCAAAAATATTTATTATTTGGGTACAAGCACTATGCTAGGCATGAGACTATAAATGGAGAAAGACAGCTTAGTCTTGCAGACAGAGACCAAAAAAAAAAAAATCACACAAATCTATAATTACACATTATGTTAAGTTATGATGGAAAAATATAGATGCTATGACAGTCTACATGAGAGGGATCTAATCCAGTCTGGGGAGGTAAGTGATGGCTAGGCTCAGAATTCAGATCCGACCTATGCCACTTACTAACCTGGATAAGCTACTTACCTCTCTGAATCTGTTTTCTCATCTGTAATAATAGTTCATAAGAGTATCTACTTCATAAGGTTCTTATAAGTATTAAATGAGAGAAATCCATGAACCAGTTGGTATAGTATCTAGACACTTTCAATACAGGTTCTGTATGTTTGATTATTTCAGGGCTGTTCCATGACTCCTCCAGTTTGGGTTAACTGCCTGTCTCTATGCTCCCCCAAAACGCTCTACATACCACTACTACAACATTACCTTACTGTATTGCAATCATCTACTCATTTAACTATTCTGTTTTCATGAGACTGTGAGCAGCTCTGCAGGAATCACGCCTTATGCTTCTTTCATCCCTAATGCTCCAAGACTTCTAGCTCACAGCTCGAGCTCCTTAAATGTTGTAGGAGAAATAAATACACTCTTCCCCAGCACTCACCATCTTTATTTCACTACAGCCTTCTTATCTTTTCTTAAACAAGCCATCTCAGGATCTTTACATTGGCTATTCCTTCTGCCATCAAATCAATCTAATCATCTATCTATCTATCTATCTATCTATCTATCTATCGCAATCAATCAATCACAATTTTTCTCTATTGCAATCAATCAATCACAATTTTTCTCTATCTATCTATCTATTGCAATCAATCACAATTTTTCCGGCTGGGCGAGGTGGCTCACACCTGTAATTCCAACACTTTGGGAGGCCAAGGCAGGTGGATTACTTGAGGCCAGGAGTTCGAGACCAGCCATGCCAATATAGTGAAACCCTGTCTCTATTAAAAACACAAAAATTAGCCGGGCGTGGTGGCGGACGCCTGTAATCCCAGCTGAGGCAGGAAAATCACTTGAACCTGGGAGGTGGAGTTTGTAGTGAGCTGAGATTGCTCCACTGCACTCCAGCCTGGGTGAGAGTGAGACTCTGCCACAAAAAAAAAAAAAAAAAAAAAGAACAAATTTTCGTATGCTTTTATAGAAAATTCTTCTCCAGATCTCCAGATCTTTTCTTTTTTGATTGCTCCTTGCTGGGCAGGGCTATCCCACAGGCAGTATGCCTAGAGTAGCCCCAGATCTTTCAACAGCTTGCATCTCAGCACTCTTGTCTCTGCTCAGTTACCTCTCTCTAGAGCTGTTTTCTGACCACCTTACCCAAAATAGCCACTTCACCCCAAACTCTGAGTCACTCTCTAACCCGGTCTTTATTTTATTCCTAGCATGTATTACGTGAAATTGCATTATGATTTTACTCACTCTGTCCCATTAGAATGTAAGCTAATTAGAATTCTGTCCCACTAGAATTCCAATTCTGTCCCATTAGAGTGTAAGCTCCATGTGGATAGAGTATAAAATTAAAACAAACTCAGTTTCTCCTATTATTTCACTCAACAATCAACAACACACAACACTTCTGATACCAGATGTGTGATGGTTTTTCCCCACATATCAAGCAAGCTATCAACTGTGTCTACTGGACACCAGTCAAGTGTCCTCTAATTCAATTCAATTTTGATGTTATCTACCTGGAGATACTGTCAGATGTTACAGGTTGAAGGCTCAGTCCCACAAGACTGCCCTTACTTCAGATGCCAACAGTAGGTCCAAGGCCACTGGCCAACTAACTACAAACCAGGGTTCCCATGACCTCATCTTCAGGTTCAACTAATTTGCTAGGGCAGCTCACAGAACTCAGGGAAATGTGTTTACTGATTTAAAGGATATTACAAAGAATACTGAGGAACACCAGATGGTAGGTATGGAAAGCTCTGGAGTCCTCAAGACTGGCCATTTAAAGATCGCATTCTGCCACTGCAATTTTAAGCACGCAATACCCATGACAGGCCAGATGATGTGGTGGCTCACGCCAGTAATGCCAGCACTGTGGGAGGCTGAGATGGGTAGATCAGATCAGTTAAGCCCAGTTCAAGACCAGGCTGGGCAACATGGCAAAACCCCATCTCTACTAAAAAAAACAAAAATTAACTGGGCATCATGGCAAGCGTCTAGAGTCCCAGCTACTCTAGGGCGCTGAGGCAGGAGGATCACCTGAGCCTTGGGAGGTTGAGGCTGCAGTGGGCTGTGATTGGGCCACTGCACTCCAGCCTGGGCAAGAGTGAGACCCTATATCAAAAAATAAAATAAATAAAAAATACCCATGACATCTCTAGAAATTTTTCCTGTGTGTCCATTTCAAATTCCACCTTTTCCACAAAGTCTCCCCTCATAACTTTACTAGTCTATGACACAGTGTCTCACACCTGGGGAGCACTCAAATGTTTGCTGCCTGTAACATTTACTAAACAAACTCTTGGCTGGGCATGGTAGCTCATGCCTGCAATCCCAGCACTTTGGGAGGCCTAGGTGAGAAGATTGATGGAGGCCAAGAGTTGGAGACCACTCTGGCCAACGCAGTAACACCCTATTTCTAGTTTTTTTTTAAAAAAATTTCAGATGCCGGGCATGGTGGCTCATGCCTGTAATCCTAGCACTTTCGGAGGCCGAGACAGGAGGACTGCTTGAGGCCAAGAATTCAAGACCAACCTGGCCAACACAGCGAGACCGCATCTCAAAAAATAAAGTTAAAAAAAAAAGCAAAAAAATTTTAGAAACGAGGGTGGGGAGAAAACTCTCCAGCCCACATAACTTATTCCATTCAATTCTTTTTGCACTAAGGTTAGTATTACACAAATGCACATTTTGTGTTCTGTAATTGTTTTATGTCTGTATACCTTGCACCCCTATCTTCCCTGTTGCCAAAGACAGATTTTCTTCTGTGTACACAACCCCCAGGACAGAGCAAGGCACCAACAGTAATTCCCAAAATAATTTTTTGATTAAAACTTTTGGAGTCATACTGTCATCAGCCAGAAAAAAAAACATGCGTGAGGAGAATGAAGGGTGTTAAAAGAGCTCAAGCTGATGTCCTGAAAGGATTACTTTATCTATAACCTTCCTGAACACTAGCCTTTTCCTGTTGAGTTCGCATGGAAAGTTTTTCCACTTAAAATGGGGCAGCAAGGCTGGGAACTAGTAGGAGTAGCGTAACTTCTCGGACTCTCCCACTGAAAAGCATCTTTTTCTTAAAGGCGGAGAGCACTTTACAGACGGTTACTAAGGTAACCGGAAACAGCAAAACTGAGGTGGTTCTATCTACGGAAGAAATTCTAAGCTCCAAAGTTAAAATGCGGAGCAGTGGCGCATATCAGCAGACGGCGGTCACTACTGTGGCTCATTTAAATCTGTGTTCAGCTCCGGGCCTCTTTTTTCAGGAATCCTTGTTTCGGGACACCCAGTGGACAGCGAAAGGAGAGAGACCACCACAGGCAAACGGCCGGAAAGCCGCGCAGTCGCAGCCCGCGCGCTTCACTCCGCCCAAATAAGCCACTACCGTCACCAACCCCATCTCGTTCGCCCGAGCCGCGGACCTGAGGGAGCGCTGTCCGCTCCCCGCAAGATGCTCACGCGAAAAACCCACTCTTCAGTGTCTGAGACCACTCCGCAGCTTTCGGCCTCGGTGAGCGGGTGAACTAAACCCGGGAAACCGCTGAAAGACCCCAGCTTCGACTAGGCCTAGTCGTAGCGGCGGCCAGCGGGAGGGCGTAGCCGTAGTCTTGGCCCACGTCATTCTGTGCCCCGGGTCAGGTCACCGCCCGGAGGGTATGGGAAGAGAAATGAAGAAGACTGGTACTCCCAGACCCTTCCGTATCGAGGACCCCAATCAACAACCCACCTGGTGAGCGCCATCTTCTTCCGCTTCTTCCAGCGCGAGCGACAGCACCGCTGGGCGGGTCTTTCCAGATGATGAGGAGCGGAAAGGAAGGAGTGCGCGATGCGCAGGCGCTCTGGCCGAAAAGGCCTTCTGGGATTTGTAGTTCTTTGAACAGGAGTACCGTTTGTATTCTGACCAGACCAAGCGGTTATCAAGGAATAATCTCTTCAGCTAGCAACAAATGCATAACTCGATCGCTTATATGCGACATGATAGGGCGTTCCCTAGGCAAAATATCAAAGATACAGGGAGATGCCTTTTAGGCCGCTTTATTACGTTCCTTACTCAGTCCCGTTCCCCGAGAAGGGGTACAAAATACAAAAGCTTCCCGGGGACAGCTACTTTAAGTAAGAGTGATAGGGCGTTTAAAACGACAGGTAATAATGAGACTAGCTAATGGAGAGTCCTTGGACTCTCTGAAAACATTCACACTCAAAACTTTTCTTTAAACCATATCCTCTCACCCGCCAAAACACTCTCTTGGGGAGATATTTCGTAATCCTTGGTAATTTACCGAGTGTCTGGGTTCTCTGCCCAGGGTATGACAAGGCTGAAATCTCATAGGAGGCTCTGGAGAAAAATCCATCTCCTAACTCATTCTTGTTGGCAAAAATCAGTTCCTGGCGGTTGTGGGATCGAGTTCCCTGTTTTGTTTTGTGCTGTTAGTGGTGGCCACCCTCAGCTCCTAGGGGTCACTCTCGAGTCCTTCCCACATGAGCCCTATTTATTGGTAGTTCACAACATGGATATTTGCTTTCTGAGGCACATCTTTCTGACTCCTCTTCTGCCACTGTTGGAGAAAAATGCCCTGCTTTTAAAGGGCTCATGTGATTAGATCAGGAGCACCTGGATAATCTCCCTATTTTAAGATCAACTCTTGGCCGGGCGCAGTAGCTCACACTTGTAATCCTAGCACTTTGGGAGGTCGGGGCGGGCGGATTGCCTGAGCTCAGGAGTTCGACAAAGCCTGGGCAACATGGTGAAACCCTGTCTCTACTAAAAATACAAAAATTAGCTGGGCGTTGTGGCGCGCTCCTGTAGTCCTAGCTACTGGGGAGGCTGAGGCAGGAGAATCGTGTGAATCAGGAGACGGAGGTTGCAGTGAGCCAAGATCACGCCACTGCACTCCAGCCTGGCGACAGAGTGAGACTGCGTCTCAAAAAATAAAAATAAATAAATAAATAAATAAATAAATAATATAAAAGAATAGCTGGGTGTGGTGATGTGCTCTTGTTTTCTCAGCTACTTGGGAGGCTGAGGTACAAGAATCGCTTGAACCCAGGAGGTGGAGGTTGCAGTGAGCCGAGATTGCACCATTGCACTCCAGCGTGGGTGACAAAGTAAAATTCTGTCTCAAAAAAAAAAAAAAAATCAACTCTGCCACACCGCATAACAGAATCAGAATCTTCATAGTCATGGCCCCAGGGGTTATGTAGGTCAGGTACTGTGGGGGTTGGGTGAGGAGGAGATCTTGGGGGATATCCTAGAATTCTGCCTGCCACAGCATGTAAACCAAAAAAACAAAAAGAAAAAATCTTTTGGTAAATACAGGATTGTTAATCACATTGTGTAATATAACCTGCATGGCCTGGGAGCCCGAAGATTAGAGTTTAAGATGTAGCTTTGGCTGGGTGTGGTGGCTTGTGCCTTTAATCCCAGCACTTTGGGAGGCTGAGGCGGGCAGATCACCTGAGGTCGGGAGTTTGAGACCAGCCTGACCAACATGGAGAAACTGCGTCTCTACTGAAAATACAAAATTAGCCGGGCGTGGTGGTGCTTGCCTGTAATCCCAGCTACTCGGGAGGCCGAGGCAGGAGAATCGCTTGAACTCGGGAGGCGGAAGTTGTGGTGAGCCGAGATCGTGCGTCGTTGCACTCTAGCCTGAGCAACAAGAGTGAAACTGTCTCAGAAAAAAAAAAAAAAAAAAAAAAGATGTAGCTTCAGCACCAATAAATTCTTATAGGGCAAGTCATTTAATTTATTTGGGCCCCAGTTTTATTGAACTTAAAATGCTGATCATGTTATCTGCTTTACCTATATTTATATAAATGTAAAATAATTATATACAATACAGCAGAGTATGAGCCTTAAATGAGGTAATGTAGGTGGATATGTTTTTACTTAACTCTTAAGTACTATGTAAATATGTTAGTTATTACAGTTAATATTTTGGTTGACAGTGATCTACTTCAACCTCTGCTCCAGGAATGTATTATTTCTAAAAGGAGAAAAACAGAGAAGCAAATTATAGAACGTCCTGGAAGCCAAGATCAAGGAGCTTAGATTTAGTTCAGCAGGTGATTTGCAGCTGAAGGAGGACTTAAGTAGAGGGCCTGGGTCAAAGGAACAGGCAAGAAAGACAATTCTTAAGGCAGAATGGGTTTCTATGGCAATGAGAGACAAAGGAGGCTACTGAGGACAAGGTTAAAATAATTAACATGGGAAATCAGTAAGACATAGACCAAGACCTGGGATGCAGGATTGAAAGAACAGGGTGGAGAAGAGCTTTTGCAATCCACTCTCATTTTCCACAGAGGCACATCATGCAAGGCATTTCCACCAGTCATAGTCCCTCGCTGTTTTGGGGGTGTGTAAAGAATAGAAACTGACTTTAATAGCAATCCTATCAAAACAATTAAGAAAGCAAATCTACTGCAAACGTGATACAATATTATACCCAAAGGCCTAGTGCTTTCTTTGGTTTTGTTGGGGAGGGGGTTTGGTGTTAAGCTATGCTGAATCTTCAGTGCCTATCCATCCCTCATTATCATAGGTAATTAGCAGCTGCCTGCTCATGTAGAGAGCCCAGTGCATGCTGGAATCAGTAATGCGCCAGGTTGCAAGAAGCAATCAATTCACTCCAGTCTTAGAATTCTGGATAGAGAGTAGAATTGTTCTCAGAGAACCTAGGGCCTAATTTGATTCCTAAGTAGGTGTGGCTATGTAGCCACAAGTAATATAGCTTGTGAGGTGGTAGGGAGGACAAGTTAAGCACATATTCTGGAGTCAGCTTTCCTGCCTTCTGATCCCAGCTCCCTAATTTATGAGCTGTAGATTCTGGATAAGTCACTTCTCTCTGTCTCAGTTTTCTCACTGGCCAATAAAAAGGGTGAGGGGCGTGGAATCAGTATAACTTATCCTCAATAAAGCTATTGGGAGGATTAAATGAGTTAATCATGTGAAGTGCTTAGAAAAATGCCCAGCATAGAGTAAGCGCTCAAAAATTAATTATGCTTTCTGGCTTTAATGAATTGGCCTTAATTTATTAAGGTTCAGGTTTTGCATCTGCAAAGTGAGGCAGTTGAACTCAATTTTATTTCTGGGGTACCTTCCCACTAACATTTTCTACTATAGGATGTTTTTTTAAATTTACTTCAATGCCAGTATTTTATGCTCTGATGCCATTATGCTTTAGTTATTATGGCTATATTATTATAATCATTCTCTGATAAAAAGTAGAGCTGCTCCACCACACCGTTCTTACTTTTTGGATGTGTTTTACGTGCCCTCTCAATGTTTAAAATTTTTTTTTAATTAAAATATTGGTTTGCATTAAAGCATAGTTAAAAAGGCTAGAGCCAATGATTACTTAGGAACTGCGAAAGAAATAACGTATCTTTACGATGGAGAGATTTGGCTGTCATCACTTTTGCTTCACTAACAGTGGAACAATCTGACACTAGGTGCTTTTAATAGGAAGTTCCCCAGTTTTCTTTCTTTCTTTCTTTCTTTCTTTCTTTCTTTCTTTTTTTTTTAGACCGAGTCTTCCTCCGTTGCCCAGGGTGGAGTGCAGTGGTGCGATTTCGGCTTACTGCAACCTCTGCCTCCCTAGTTCAAGCGATTCTCCTGCCTCAGCCTCCCGAGTAGCTGGGATTACAGGCATGAGCAAGCACGCCTGGCTAATTTTTGCATTTTTAGTAGAGATGGGGTTTCACCATGTTGGCCAGGCTAGTCTTGAACTCCTGGCCTCAAGTGATCCACCCACCTTGGCATCCCAAAGTGCTGGGATTACGGGTATGAGCCACTGCACCTGGCCGGAAGTTCACCAATTTTCTGATCAAACCAGACCTAATGTCCAGTTCACAAGAAATTCAGGGGATAGAGTAACAAGTTTAAAAGCATGAGGAAACAATCAGTAAAATCCAGAATGTGAGACATTCTACAAGACAACTGACTGAGACTCTACAAAATGTCAATGTCATGGAATGGATGTGAATAGAATAGATGAAAACAGATTGATGAGACATGACACATAAAATTAGTAAACCTTGATGGGATTCTGGTTCAGTTGGGGAAAACTATAAAAAATATTCTTGGGACATTTGGAGAAAGTTGCATATGGAGTGATAATAGACAACATTGTAGAATTTTTGCTAAATTTCTTAGGAGTATTAATGACATTGTGGTTAAGTAGAAGAACGTTCTTATTCTTGGGAGATGCATGCCAGAGGATTTGGGGATGAAATGTGTCAACTTACTTTCTTCTTTTTTGTTTGTTTTTTGTTTTGAGACACAATTTTGCTCTTGTCACCCAGGCTGGAGTACAGTGACGCAGTCTTGGCTTACTGCAATCTCTGCCTCCCGGGTTCAAGTGATTCTCCTGCCTCAGTCTCCCAAGTAGCTGGGATTATGGGCGCCTGCCACCATGCCCAGCTAATTTTTGCGTTTTTAGTACAGACGAGGTTTTACCATGTTGGCCAGGCTGGTCTCGAACTCCTGACCTCAGGTGCTCCATCCACCTGGCCTCCCAAAGTGCTGGGATTATAGGCCTGAGCCACTATGCCCAGCCTCAATTTACTTTCAAATAGTTTATCTCAACAACAAAAAATGTGTGTGTGTGTGTGTTTATAGTGAGAGAGTGTGAGAGAGCATGAAAGGGAAAGCAAAATGTTAACAATTATTTAAGCTTAGATGGGGGAGTGTGGACTGTATAGGTGTTTATTGAACTATTGTTTCAACTTTTATATATATATGAAAATTATCTCTTTTTTTTTTTTGAGACAGGGTCTCACTCTGTTGCTCAAGCTGGAGTTCAGTGGTATGATCACGGCTCACTACAGCCCGAATCTCCCAGGCTCAAGCGATACTCCTACCTCAGCCTCCCAAGTAGCTAGGACTACAGGCATGTGCCACCAGGCCTGGCTAATTTATTTTTTGTAGAGACAGGGTCTCACTATGTTGCCCAGGCTGGTCTTGAACTCCCGGACTGAAGTGATCCTCCTGCCTGGCATCCCAAAGTGATGTAAGCCACTGCACCCAGCCCTGAAAATTTTTATAATAAAAATTTAAGAAGAGGAAAGTTGTAGAACTCACATTTCCCAATTTCAGAAACCTACTACAAAGCTGCAGTAATCAAGACAGTGTGGTACTGGCATAAGGATAGATTCATAGATCAATGGAATAAAATTGAGAGTCCTGAAATAAACCCATATGTTTATGGTGAACTGATTTTTGACAAGGGTACCAAGACCATCTAAAACTATTATTGACATAGTTTTTTCAACAAATGGTGCTGGGAAACTGTATGTCTAAATGCAAAAGAATGCAGTTGGACCCTTGCTTCACGCCCTATACAAAAATTAACTCAAAATAACTCAAAGACCTAAATGTGAAAACTAAAACTATAAAACTCTTAGAAGAAAACACAGGGGTCAATCTTCATGATCTTGGATTTGGCAAAGAATTCTTAGATAAGATACAAAAAGCATAAACAACAAAGGAAAAAATAGAAAAATTGGACTAAATCAAAAGTTAAGGTTTTGTGCTTCAAAGGACATCATCAAGAAAGTGAAGGGCCGGGCATGGTGGCTCACGCCTGTAATCCCAGCACTTTGGGAGGCCGAGGCAGGCGGATCACGAGGTCAGGAGATCGAGACGATCCTGGCTAACATGGTGAAACCCCATCTCTACTAAAAATACAAAAATTAGCCGGGTGTAGTGGCGGGCACCTGTAGTCCCAGCTACTCAGAAGGCTGAGGCAGGAGAGTGGCGTGAACCCAGGAGGCAGAACTTGTAGTGAGCCAAGATTGTGCCACTGCACTCCAGCCTGGGCAACAGAGCGAGACTCCGTCTAAAAAAAAAAAAAAAAAAAAAGAAAGAAAGTGAAAAGTCCCAAGACCTTCAGGCAAACAAAGACATTCCTATTAGGCATGACATTTCAGGAGTTTAGAGATTACTTCCAAGAAGCTAAGGACAAAAGCCAGATCTCTCTTTGGACAAGGTTAAATTTGTTACTACAGAAGCCTTGAAAACATTATGCTAAATGAAAGAAGCCTGTCACAAAAGACCAGATATTGTATTATTACCTTTATATAAAATGTTCAGAATAAACAAATCCTGTGGGGGTGTTAGGAAAGGTCAATAATTGTTAATGGGTATGAGTTTCTTTTGGGGGAGGGTTGAAAAATTAGTGGTGACGGTTGTTCAACTTTGAATATACTAAACGCCTCTAATCTGCATACTTTAATAAGGTGATTTTATGGTGCGTGAACTACATTTCAATAAAGCTGTAGAAGCAAAGTTAAGTAAAATGCAAAAGTAATAAAATGAATAAGTGAATAAAAAGTATAATATAGTATCTCTTCATTTTTTTCCAAATGAAATTTAGAATTATTTTGTGCATTCTATTGAAAAATATCTGTAGGCATTTTGATTGGCGTTGAATTGTCCATAAATTAATTTTGAGAGAGCCAATATCTTTACAATTTTATGTCTTCTCACTCAAGAACACTGGTTTTGGTTTTGGTTTTTGAGTTGGAGTCTTGCTCTGTTGCCTGGGCTGGAGTGCAGTGGACGATCTTGGCTCCCTACAACCTCTGCCTCCTGGGTTCAAGAGATTCTCCTGCCTCAGCCTCCTGAGTAGCTGAGATTACGGGCATGCACCATCACACCTGGCTAATTTTTGTATTTTTAGTAGAGACGGGGTTTCGCCATGTTGGCCAGGCTGGTCTCGAACCCCTGAACTCAAGTGATCTGCCTGCCTTGGGCTCCCAAACTGTTGGGATTACAGGCGTGAGCCACTGCTTTTGGCCAGGAACACTGTTTAGATTTTAACTTATTAAAATCTTCCTTCATATCTTTCAATAACATTTTGAAGTTGTCTTTATATAGATTGTACACATCTTTCAGGATATTAATTTTGGTATTTCATTTTTAAAATCATGAATGCAATCTCTGTTTTTATATGATTACTAAATAGAACAGTAATTTTTATTAAGTAAGTCAAAAATGTTCTGAAACATGTCAGTCATTTTATAGGCAGAATCAATTTTTTTAATTTTTATTTTTTATTTTTTACAGGCATGATCAACCAGGTACAGAATCAGTTTTTTGGCTGTAGATGATTTAAGAGTTAGGGTCAACTTGTCTTTGGTGAGATGTGCTCCTCTATCTTCTTCTGGAATTAAGCAGTTCTTTGGGTTGATGAGTAGGAAAGCAGTTTTGCTGTCAGCTACTTCCCTCCATGAGTTCTGAGACTTCCTGTTTAAAAGCACTACGAAACCTGCTGACCCCACTTCTTTCCCGATTTAATTATTCTTTTTGAAAGTTGGCTCTAACCTTAAGGGTTGTGAAAACACAAGGATCCAGTGTGGTTGAAGCTTTAGAACTAAGAAAACCATTCCTTTTTCTATCAAACAGCCTGGCAGGGGAACAGTTTGCCCCTTGCCCTGAGCCCTGTCATTTGTTTTGATCATTTTCATTCCTATCAAATGTGCTGTTGGCCCAGAAGGCAGCCATCTGATAGCTGAAGTGACTGCCTACATTTCTTCCCTCTCTTCTCCAGTAACAAGATATTCCACCAGAATATGCCTGTTTGTAGGCTAAGGCTGTGATTTAATAACCCTAAGGAGATAAACACTGGGATAATAATAATGGTTATTATTTATTGATTAGCTTCTCTATGCCAATTTATCCCACTTATTCCTTGTAACAGCCCTGTGAGTAGTTAACTCTTTTTATCCACACTTTACAGATAAGAAAATGGAGGCTTAGATATGTAAGCTGCCCAAGATGACAAATAGAAAGTGACTAATCTGGAACTTAAACCCAGAGAACATGATCTTTCTTTTTTTTTTTTTGAGACAGGGTCTCACTCTATCGCCCAGGCTGGGGTGCAGGGGTGCAATCACGGCTCATTGCAGCCTTGACTTCCTGGGCTCAGTCTATCCTCCTGCCTCAGCCTCTCAGGTAGCTGGGACTACAGGCGAGGCCCACCACGCCCAGCTAATTTTCTTATTTTTTGCAGAGATGGGGTCCCACTATTTTGCCCAGGCTGGTCTTGAACTGCTGGGCTCAAGCAATCCTCCTGCCTCAGCCTCCCAAAGTGCTGGGATTACAGGTGTGAGCCACTGTGCCCGGCCCGGAGAACATGATCTTAACCATACTGTCTTCCAAGTGAAAGATTCTACCTTTCTAAGACATCTGGAGTCAGACAGACCTGAGTTCAAGTCGTGCCTTCCTCCCCACTTTACTGAACCTTCAGTGAGTCTTTCTACCTCAGAAGGCTGTGAGGATGCCATGGGGTAATGAATGTAAAGTGTTTAAGTGCTTGGCTGACACTGAGTACTAAATAAATATCAATTTATTCTTCAAAAGTGTATAAAAATGTATCAAGTCCTTTCTCTGTACTAAACCCTGTACTAATTTGGGGGAATTCAAAGTTAAAGTCTGTATAGTCTTGCCCTAAAAACTAATGGGCTGGGACGGGCACAGTGCTTCACACCTGTAATCCCAGCACTTTGGGAGGCTGAGGTGGGCAGATCATGAGATCAGGAGTTCGAGACCAGCCTGGCTAACATATGAAACCCCATCTCTACTAAAAATACAAAAAATTAGCTGGGCATGGTGGCGGGTGCCTGTAATCCCAGCTACTCGGGAGGCTGAGGCAGGAGAATTGCTTGAACCCGGGAGGCAGAGGTTGCAGTGAGCTGAGATCACGCCATTGCACTCCAGCCTGGGCAACAAGAGCGAAACTCTCCATCTCAAAAAACAAAAACAAAAATACAAAACCAATGGGCTGGTACATCTGGGACTTGTGGGTTGAATCTGGCCCCCATACATATTCTGTTTGTCCTTCACATGCTTTAAAACTTTTGAATTAGTTCCAGACATTTAAAAGTTGGGAGATTTTGGCCGGGCATGGTCGCTCACACCTCTAATCCTAGCACTTTGGGAGGCCGAGGCCAGTGGATCACTTGAGGTCAGGAGTTCGAGACCAGCGTGGGCAACATGGTGAAGCCCCATCTCTACTAAAAATACAAAACTTAGCCAGGCATGGTGGCGGCACCTGTAATCCCAGCTACATGGGAGGCTGAGGCAGGAGAATCGCTTGAATCCAGGAGGTGGAGGTTGCAGCGAGCTGAGATCGTACCACTGTACTCCAGCCTGGGCGACAGAGTGAGACTCTATCTCAAAAAAATAAAATATAATATAAAATAAGTTGGGAGATTTTGATCTGTTCACCTGCCTTTGAACTTCCTACCCAGACACCTTCTCAAGGGGGGTGGTGTCTCTGGCGATCTCATCACTGGCAGAGGAAGGATAACTGAACCCAGTCAATGGCCAAGCCTCCATATATTAGTGGCACTCACATCTCTAGACTCTTCTTGGCTCACCAGACATACATGTACCTTGGGGACCACCCTTCAAAATGCCATCAACACAGGCTCCTAAAGTAGGACATTTTACACCCATCACCCAGTTATGTACCAACAATAACATAGGGCTATTCCTTCAGATGAAGAGCTGAGAATATGTTAGTTTTAAAATAGAAGTCAGAGTCAGTGTGGCAGGTGGAATTTACAGCCTGTGTACAAAAAAAACCACACTTAAATGCCTGTTTCTAACAAAGACCAACTAAAAATTCCTCCCAGGGCAATAAAGAGAAGCCTCCATAGGTGAGAGTGTTTCTCTGGAGGGAATCTAGAAAAGTTGAGGGAGAATGAGTCTAGCTCCTTCCAACAGGAGGATAGAAACCTATCTAAATGGGCAGGGCCAGACTGAGTTCATAGGAAAAATAATTTCCTTCATAGTGGGTAGATTCTAAGACCCCCACCCCAATTTTTTTTGAGGATATCTCACAAAGGATAGAGCAGGCCTGGGTCTGACAGGTGGGACTGACTTAAGCCTATCCTTGCTCACAAACAGAAGCCCATTCCCACCAGCGATCTGAGAGATTTGGCAGAGGCTGGGTGAAGGTTGAGGATGAAAGGGACTTTACTTGTGGAGTTCAAGGTTAAATCCAATCTACAGTCATGAACTCTGCTCCAAACCACAATACCGCTTCTTACCCACTAGGATAGCTATAACCAAATAGACATAATAAGAGTTAGTGAGGATGCAGAGAAACTGGAATGCTTGTACATTGCAGGTGGGAATGTAAAATGGTGCAGCCACTTTGGAAAACAGTTTGGCAGTTCTTCAAAACTTTAAACGGAGAGTTACCATATGATATGGTTTGGCTGTGTGTCCCCACCCAAATCTCATGTTGAATTGTAATTCCCAATGTTGGGGGAGGGACCTGATGGGAGGTGATTGGATGACGGGGGCAGATTTCCCCCTTGCTGTTCTATGATAGTGAGTTCTGATGTCCTATGATAGTGAGTGAGATCTGATGGTTTAAAAGTGTGTGGCACTTCCCCCTTTGCTCTTTCTTCTGCCACCATGTGAAGAAGGTGCTTTGCTTCCCCTTTGCCTTCTGCCATGATTGTAAATTTCCTGAAGCCTCCCAGTCATGCCTCTGTTAAACCTGCAGAACTGTGAGTCAATTAAACCTCATACCTTAGTACACCATATGACCCAGCAATTCCATTCCTTTTTTTTTTTTTTTTTTTTTTTTTTTTTGAGACAGGGTCTAACTCTGTCACCCAGGCTGGAGTGCAGTGGTGCAATCACAGCTCATTGCTGCCTCAACCTCCTGTGCTGAAGTCATCCTCCCACCTCAGCCTTCTGAGTAGCTGGGACTACAGGCCCATGCCACCATGCCTGGCTATTTTTTTTTTTTAATTTTTGGTAAAGACAGGATCTCCCTATGTTTTCCAGGCTGGTCTCAAACTCCTGGACTCAAGCAATCTTTCAGCCTCTATCTCCCAAAGTACTGAGGGGGATTATAGGTGTGAGCCACTGCTCCCAGCCTCTACTCTTAATATGATCAAGAGAAATGAAAACACATGTTCACACAAAAACTTATACGCAAATATTCATAGCAGCATTATAATAGCTGAAATGTGGAAGCAGCTCAAATGCGCCACACACTGATGAATGGATAAACAAAAGGTGGTATATCCACACATTGAAATATTACTCAGCAATAAGAAGAAATGAAGTACTGATACGGGATACAACTTACACGAACCTTGAAAACATAATGCTAAGTGAAAGAAGCCAGTCACAAAGACCAGATATTATATAATTCCATTTATTTGAATTGTTCACAATAGGCATATCCATCGGAATGCAGATTAGCAGTTGCCTGGGGATAGGGCCGGTGAGGTGGGGCAGGAAGCAGGGACTGAGAAAGGGAACAAACAGCGAGTGGATGGGAGTTTCTTTTTGGAGTATTGAAAGGTAAAAAGTTCTAAAATTATATAATGGTGATGGTTGTACAACTCTGTGAATAATCATGAAAACCACTGAATTGTACACATTGAAAGGGTGAATTTTACGGTATGTGAATTATATCTTAATACATCTGTGTTTTGGCCAGGCGTGGTGGCGTGGTGGCTCACACCTGTAATCCCAGCACTTTGGGAGGCCGAGGCAGGCGGATCACTTGAGGTCAGGAGTTTGAGACCAGCCTGATCAACATGGAGAAACCCCGTCTCTACTAAAAATACAAAATTAGCCAGGCATGGTGGCACACACCTGTAATCCCAGCTACTCGGGAGGCTGAGGCAAGGGAATTGCTTGAACCCAGGAGGCAGAGGTTGTGGTGAGCTGAGATCGTGCCATTGCATTCCAGCCTGGGCAACAAGAGCAAAACTCTGTCTCAAAAAAAAAAAAAAATCTGTTTTTTAAAAATATATCTGTTCCAGGTTTCCTCAGACTACCCCTAAGATAACCAGGAACCACAATGGACTTTTCCCTCTTTCTCCTCTATTTTAAAAAAATATTCAGCCAGGCATGGTGTTGCACCTGTAATCCCAGCCACGTGGGAGGCTGAGTTGGGAGAATTGCTTGAACCTGGGAGGTGGAGGCTGCAGTGAGTCGAGATCGCACCACTGCACTCCAGCCTAAGCAACAGAGCGAGACTCCATCTAAACAACAACAAAAATTCATGAGCCTCTCTTTACTTAATTTCTTTAAAATGTTTAATAGTCTGTTAATTAATTTATAAAATTATTATTAGTAGTATTTGAGACAGAGTCTCACTCTATTGCCAGGCTGGAGCACAGTGGTGTGATCTTGGCTCACTGCAACCTCTGCCTCCTGGGTTCAAGTGATTCTCATGCCTTAGCCTCCTGAATAGCTGGGATTACAGGCATGCACCACAATGCCCGGCTAATTTTTGTGTTTTTAGCAGAGATGGGGTTTCATCATGTTGGCCAGGCTGGTCTCGAACTCCTGTCCTCAAGTGATCTGCCTGCCTCAGTCTCCAAAAGTGCTGGGATTACAGGAATGAGCCACAGTGCCTGGCCAAAAAAATTTTTTTTTCTTTTTTTTTTTTTTCAGAGACAGGGTCTCACTGTGTAACCCAGGCTAAAGTGCAGTGACACCATCATGACTCACTGCAGCCTCGATTTCTTGGGCTCAAGTGATCCTCCCACCTCAGCCTCCTAGATAACTGGGACCACAGGCACGTACCACCATGCCCAGCTAGGTGTATTAGTCTGTTCTCATGCTGCTAATAAAGACATATCCGAGACTGGGTCATTTATAAAGGAAAGAGGTTTAATGGACTCACAGTTCCACATGGCTGGTGAGACCTCACAATCATGGTGGAAGGTGAATGAGGCACAAAGTCACGTCTTACATGGTGGCAGGCAAGAGTGTGTCCAGGGGAATTCCCGTTTATAAAACCATCAGAGCTTGTGAAACTTATTTACTATCATGAGAACAGCAGAGGAAAGAACTGCCCCCATGATTCAATTACCTCCCACGGGGTCCCTCCCATGACATGTGGGAATTATGGGAGCTACAATTCAAGATGAGATTTGGGTGAGGACACAGCCAAACCATATCACTAGGGTTTTTTTTCTTTGATAGAGATGGAGTCTCACTATGTTGCCCAGGCTGGTCTTGAACTCCTGGGCTCAAGCAATTCTCCCACTTTGGATTCCCAAAGTTCTGGGATTACAAGTGTGAACCATTGCGCCTGGCCTCATGGCCTAGTTAACTGCTTCTTTTTTTTCCCGAGATAGAGTCTTGTTCTGTCACCCAGGCTGGAGTGCAGTGGTGCGACTCAGCTCACTGCAACCTCTGCCTCCTGGGTTCAAGCGATTCTCCTGCCTCAGCCTCCAGAGTAAGCTGGGATTACAGGCACCCGCCACTGCACCTGGCTCATTTTTGTATTTTTAGTAGAGATGGGGTTTCACCAGGTTGGGCGGGCTGGTCTTGAACTCCTGACCTCAGGTGATCCCCCCTGCCTCTGCCTCCCAAAGTGCTGGGATTACAGGCGTGAGCCACCATGCCTGGCTAGTTAACTTCTGGACCTCAATTTCCTCAGTTGAAAAATGAGGATAATAACAGTCCTTTCCTCATAGGGTAAGTGTAAATCTAAAATGACCACAGATATGAACTATGTTTAGAACAGTACCTAGCACATAATAAATCCTGTATTAGTATTTGTAATAATTATTTATATATTAATATATGTTATACATATTAATAGTCATATATTACACCCCTAGGATAGTATTTAGCACATAGTAAGTGCCCTATATAAGTGTTAGCTATTAATATTATCATTATTTACTTATTTTTATTAGAGTTGATAATGGTTAACTTGTCCAAGGCTTTATCTGTTCTGCTGTTGATGAACATTGAGCTGTTTCCAGTTTGAGGTTACAAATGCGTAATGCTGCTTTGAATATTTGTGCATCATTTTCTCTAGGGTATACACTTAGGAGTGGATTGCTGAGGCACAGGGTATGTTTACCTCCATATTTACAGATATGCCAAACCGTTTTCCAAAGTGGATGATTCAATTTACATTCCCACCTCCAGTAAGAACCTCTCCAATACTTGATAGGCTCATCTTTTAAAATTTTACCCTGGTATGTAATGACAGCATCAATTTTAATTTGCATTTTTCTGGTTACTGATGAGGAGGAGCACCTTTGATTTCCTTCTTGTGACATTCCTGTTCAAGCCTCTTGTCCATTTACTACTGAGTTATACGTCTTTTTCTTGTTGCGTTGTGAGAATTCTTCACATGGTTTGGGTACTGAGTAATTCTTTATCTATTTCAATACCTTCCACTATTCTGCTTGACTTCTACTCTGCCAGTGGTATCTTTTGTTTTTGTTTTTGTTTTGAGATGGAGTTTTGCTTTTGTTGCCCAGGCTGGAGTGCAATGGTGCTATCTCAGTTCACTGCAACCTCTGCCTTCCATGTTCAAGCGATTCTCCTGCCTCAGCCTCTCAAGTAGCTGGGATTCTAGGTGCCTGCCAACACGCCGGGCAAATTTTTTGTATTTTTAGTAGAGACGGGGTTTCACCATGTTGGCCAGGCTGGTCTCGAACTCCAGACCTTAAACAATCCACCCGCCTTGGCCTCCCAAATTGCTGGGATTACAGGTGTGAGCCACCATGCCTGGCCCCAGTGGTATCTTTTGATGAACAAAAAAATTTAATTCAGAAGTAAGCAAATTTATGAATCTTTTTCATTGTAGTTAGTGCTCTTTTTGTCTTGTTCAAGAAATTCTTCCCTGTCCTGAGGTCTTATCTTGTAAAAGCTTTATAGTTTTTCCTTTTACACTTAGGTCATTTCCACCTGGAATTGAATATTGTGCACGATCTGATATAGGACTGAGGGCAATTTCAATTTTTTCTACATAGATGCTCAATTTTATCAGCACCATTTATTAAAAAGCCTGTTCTTTCCTCACTCATCTGCAGGCCATCTCTGTCATGTAGCAAGTGTTATGTAGCAAATGTCATGTATTGATATGTTTGAGGGCTCTTTATTTTGTTCCTTTTACAGGAAGTCCTCCCACCTTGTTCTCCTTATTCAATAGTGTTTTGTCTTGATCCTTTTTAGAATCTGCTAATTAAGTTCCACCAAAAACAAACAAAGAAACAAACAAAACCCTAAAATGGAACAAAACCATTTTCCCAGTCAGTAGAAATCTCAAGATCTAACTGAATGGTAGTGACCAGGACTCTTTCTTTTTTCACCTGGACATGAACGAAAAGCATGTAGATTTAGGTTCTGTCAACAGCTGCCTCATTCTAGGCACATTAGTATAGGGTTGAAAACAACACTCACAGCCGGGTGCAGGGGCTCATGCCTGTAATCCCAGCACTTTGGGAGGCTGAAGCAGGTGGATCACCTGAGGTCAGGAGTTCCAGACCAGCCTGACAAACATGGTGAAACCCCGTCTCTACTAAAAATACAAAAATTAGCTGGGCATAGTGGCTAACACCTGTAATCCCAGCTACTTGGGAGGCTGAGGAAGGAGAATTGCTTGAACCTGGGAGGCGGAGGTTGCAGTGAACCGAGATCGGGCCATTGCACTCCAGGCTGGGTGTCAAGAGTGAAACTCCATCATACACCACATACACACACACACACACACACACACACACACACACACACACACACACAGGCTGGGAGCAGTGGCTCACGCCTGTAATCCCAGCACTTTGGGAGGCCGAGGTGGGCAGATCACGAGGTCAGGAGTTCGAGACCAGCCTGGCCAACATAGTGAAACCCCATCTCTACTAAAAATACAAAAAATTAGCTGCAAGTGGTGGTGGGCGCCTGTAATTCCAGCTACTCGGGAGACTGAGGCAGGAGAATAGTGTGAACCCAGGAGGCAGAGTTTGCAGTGAGCCGAGATTGTGCCATTGCACTCCAGCCTGGGCGACAAGAGTGAAATTCCATCTCAAAAAAAAAAAAGAAAACAACACTCAGAAGGGCAGAGCCAAGAGAATCACTAAGAACAGAGTCAGACAATGTCTGGGTCCTTCTTACCTCCTAAGTGCTGCAGTTATATCGGTTTAACTTGGGGTTTCTGTTATTTGCAAACCACTGAAAGCATCCTAACTTATCCATAAGCTATCTTAAATACTGGCTTGGCTGCAGAAGCAAGTAAAAAGACCTCTTCGTGAAAAGGAAAATAACTGTCACAAAACTATTAATTTTATTCTATGGGGGCCAACAATGATATAATAATATAATAATGGTGATGTTGATAGTTATAGATAACAATTACAAAGCCAGTCCCTATGCTAAGGTATTTACAGATAATATATCATTATACTAGTGATCTTATTCAACGGCCATGATCTCCCAGTGTTACTCTTTTTAGAGAGGAGGAAACAGGTCCAGAGATCTTAAGTAACTCTCTCAGTATCACACAGTTAATGGAATTCAAAGGTAGCCTTGACTGGCTCCAGCACACTTATCAATTGGTCTTTTAACTAATTATTATTATTATTTTTTTTTTTTTGAGACGGAGTCTCGCTCTGTTGCCCAGGTTGGAGTGCAGTGGCACGATCTTGGCTCACTGCAAGCTCCGCCTCCTGGGTTAACGCCATTCTCCTGCCTCAGCCTCCTGAGTAGCTGGGACTACAGGCATCTGCCACCATGCCCGGCTAATTTTTTGTATTTTTAGTAAGGACAGGGTTTCACCCTGTTAGCCAGGAGATGGTCTCCATCTCCTGACCTCATGATCCACCCTCCTCGGCCTCCCAAAGTGCTGGGATTACAGGCGTGAGCCACCGCGCCCGGCCTTAACTTATTATTAAATAGAGCAAATGTAAAACTTCCAGGAGGCCAGGTGTGGTGACTTATGCCTATAATCTCAACACCTTGGGAGGCCAAGGCAGGTGGATCACCTGAGGTTGGAAGTTTGAGACCAGCCTGGCGAACATGGTGAAACCCTCTGTGTACTAAAAATAAAAAATTAGCCAGGTGTGGTGGCACCTGCCTGTAATCCCAGCTACTTGGGAGGCTGAGACACTAGAATGACTTGAACCCAGGAGGCAGTGGTTGCAATGAGCTGAGATAGTGCTACTGCACTCCAGCCCGGGAGCTGTTTCAAAAAAACAATAACAAAGACAAAAACAAAAACTTCCAGGACAGGCGTTGTGGGTCATGTCTTTAATCCTAGCACTTTGGGAGGCTGAGGCAGGAGGTTTGTTTGAGCCCAGGAGTTCAAAACTAGCCTGGTCAACATAGTGAGACCCCATCTCTATAAACAACGTTTCTCCCATGCTGTTCTCATGATAGTGAGTGAGTTCTCACAAGATCTGATGGTTTTATAAGGGGTTCTTCCCCCTTCACTTGGCACTTCTCCTTCCTGCCACCTTATGAAGAAGGTGTCTGGCTTCCCCTTTGCCTTCTGCCATGATTATAAGTTTTCTGAGGCCACCCCAGCCATGCTGAACTGTGAGTCAATGAAACCTCTTTCCTTTATAAATTACCCAGTAATTTATAACAACAACTCAGGCAGTTGTTGATAGCAGCATGAAATTGGAGTAATACAGCCTCCTAAAGTGCTGGGATTACAGGCATGAGCCACCACACGCAGCCTGCATTTTTTCATAGATAAAATGTTCTACAAGTTTTCGATTGACATTTGGAATTTTCAGAAAAGTACAAGAAGAAAATTTAAATTATCCATAATCCTACTCTGCAGAGATAATCACTATTATCATTTTATAGTATATCCTTTGAGCCTTTTAAATAATATATGCAATAGAAATCCAGCTGTGAATATTGTTTTGTAATCTGCTTTCTTTTTTTTTTTTGATATGGAGTCTATCTGTCACTCAAGCTGGAGTGCAGTGTCTCAATCTCAGCTTACTGCAGCCTCCACCTCCCAGGTTCAAGCGATTCTCCTGCCTCAGCCTTCCAAGTAGCTGGGATTATAGGCGCCTACCACCACACCTGGCTAATTTTTGTATTATTGGTGCAGACAAGTTTTCGCCATGTTGGCCAGGCTGGTCTCGAACTCCTGACCTCAAGTGATCTGCCCACTTTGGCCTCCCAAAGTGCTGGGATTACAGGTGTGAGCCACTGCACCTGGCCTGCTTTCTTAAGATAGTATTTTTTCTAGTCATTAAAAATTCTAAAATATTATTATTAATGTTTGCAATGGTATTTTAGTTTCTAACATTTACTTAATCAGTGCTCTATTTTCACTAAAAATTTGTTGCCATACACATTCTTGAAAATCTTTTTTTCAGACAACACTGATTTTTTTAAAAGTAGAATTACTTATTAAAGGAATATAAACATTTACAAGTGTTTAGTACTACCAAACTGCTCTCCAGAAAGGCTACATCCACTTCTGTTCCTACCATTAGTGAGGTAGAATTCCTCTTTTCCCAAAACCTTACTCTTCTGGAAGTTTTTTTTTTTTTTTTTTAAATAGACATGGTCTTGCTCTGTCACCCAGGCTGGAGTGCAGTGGTCTGATCTCAGCTAACTGCAGCTTTGACCTCTTGGGCTCAAGCGATCCTCCCACATCCTACCTCAGCCTCCTAGGTAGCTGGAACTACAGGTGCACTCCACCATGCCTGGCTAGTTTTTTCTTTGTTTGTTTGTTGAGCCCCATGATTCAAATACTTCCACCTGGTCTCTCCCTTGACACCTGGAGATTATGGGGATTATGGGGATTACAATTCAAGGTGAGATTTGGTTGGGGACACAAAGCCTAACCATATCAGAGGCCAAGGTGGGAGGATTGCTTGAGCCTAGGAGTACAAGACCAGCCTGAGCAACAGAGCAAGATTGTCCACAAAAAAAGGAAAAGAAATTTAAAAAAGACAAAGAAAACAAAAAATAAAAAAAGTTATTAGATGAATGTGGTGGCCCATGCTTGTAGTTCCAGCTACTTGGGAGGCTGAGGTGGGAGGATCACTTGAGCCTGGGAGGTCAAGGCTGCAGTGAGCTATGATTGCACCACTGCACTCCAGCCTGAGCAAGAGAGCAAGACCCTCTCAAAAAAAAAAAAAAAAAAAAGAAAGAAAATTCAAACATTTTCAAAGCTAGAGAAAAGAGAAAAATGAGATGAACTTGCCCCAGCTTTAATTATTGTCAACACAAAGCCAATCTTGCCTGTCATATTCCTTCTCCCTCACTCACATTATTTTAAAGCAAATATCAAACATCATATTTCATTTGTAAATATTTTGGCATGTTTCTCTAACCAATAAGGGCTCCTTTTTATTTTTATATTTTTTTGAGACAGGGTTTCACTCTTGCTTAGGGTGGAGTATAGTGGTGTGATCATAGCTCACTGCAGCCTTGAACTCCTGGGCTCAAGTAATCCTCCTGCCTTGGCCTCACAAGTAGCTGGGACTACAGGCTTGTGCCACCACGTCTGGCTAATTTTTAATTTTTTGTTGAGATAGGATCTTGCTATGTTGCCCACGCTGGTCTCAAACTCCTGAGCTCAAGCAGTCCTCCTGCCTTGACCTCCCAACGTGTTAGGATTACAGGCATGAGCCACTGCACCTGGCCAAGGGCTCCTTTTTTTAAAAACCACAACCACAGTACCATGATCACATCTAAATTTAAAATAGTTAATTCTTTAATATCATCAAATATCCAAATAATATTCACATTGCCCTGACTGTGTTTTTATGTGTTTTATATATTTTATCTCTTTTACTTATAGGCTCCCCCTCCATCTCTTTTTTCTCATGTAATATTTTGTTGAAGAAATTGGGTCATTTGCCTGTTAGTTTGCCATAGCCTTGGTTTTGTTAATTGTAGCTCATGATGTTGTTTAACATGTCCCTCATCTGTCTGTTTCCTGTAAATTCTTCATTAGACCTAGAGGCTTGATCAGACTCAGAGTTTTTTGTTTTGTTTGTGCAGTACAGTGGGAGAAGGGACGAAGAAACTTATCAAGGGGAGGCATTTACTTCTATCTGAAGGATCCAGTGTCTGATGGTCTTTCTTGTGATGTTAGCAACTGTTTATGATCATTGCCACACCCATACATCATTAGGGATTGCAAATTGGCGATGTTCTTATTCTATTGTTTCTTTTCCATTTAGTAGTTAGAATGCTCCATATTCCAAGAGAATTTTTTCTTTAACTATTTAGGTGCTCTTTGGAAGAGATCACAAAGGAAAGAGAAAATAAATACCTGATTCTTTCTCTTTAATGACCAGTTTTAAAAATAATTAGGTGCGGCCGGGTGCGGTGGCTCACGCCTGTAATCCCAGCACTTTGGGAAGCCGAGGCGGGCGGATCACGAGGTCAGGAGATCGAGACCATCCCGGCTAAAACGGTGAAACCCCGTCTCTACTAAAAATACAAAAAATTAGCCGGGCGTAGTGGCGGGCGCCTGTAGTCCCAGCTACTTGGGAGGCTGAGGCAGGAGAATGGCGTGAACCCGGGAGGCGGAGCTTGCAGTGAGCGGAGATCCCGCCACTGCACTCCAGCCTGGGCGACAGAGCGAGACTCCGTCTCAAAAAAAAAAAAAAAAAAAAAAAAAAAAAAAAAAAAAAATTAGGTGCTTTCCTAGCATGCTTCAGTGGTGACTGATAAAATTTTTTTGGTAACGTTATAAACTCACAGAGTTAAATAAACTTAATATGCTTTCATCCAGTGATGTTTTTAGCCTATTGATGCTCAAATTATCCTCCTTTTAGCAAGTAGAAGGTTCTCCATGTTAGCTTCTGAGTCCTTTTTAAACCAACCCCATTAGTCTTTGATGGCTTCCCTGCTTTCTGGTATAAAAGGTATTCCAGGCTGGGGGCGGTGACTCATGCCTGTAATCCCAGCAATTTGGGAGGCCGAGGCTGGTGGATCACCTGAGGTCAGGAGTTTGAGACCAGCCTGGCCAACATGGTGAAACCCCGTCCCTGCTAAAAATACAAAAAAATTAGCTGGGCCTGGTGGTGGGCGGCTATAATCCCAGCTACTTGGGAGGCTGAGGCAGGAGAATTGCTTGAACCCAGGAGGTGACAGTGAGCTGAGATTGCACCATTGCACTCCAGCCTGGCCAACAAGAGCAAAACTCCATCTCAAAAAAAAAAAAAAAAAGGTATTCCAGGATCATGTTGTACATTTCCATCCCCAGATCTGGAATGACTCATTTCTGTAAGAGGCCCTGGTTTCTTTTAGTGGGGCAATTTGCATGCTATAAGGTGGTAAGTGAATGATTTTTAAAAGTAAGAAATAACAGATACTAGGTAATGAATAACAGTACAAAACTGATAGAACTATGAAGGTATTGCAGCCCAAGACCCCATTAGTGAGGGGGAGATAGTCTCACAACTTAACAGGCCCTGAAGGAATGAATGCATCTTAATATCATATCACACCATCACATGGATGCGAGCCTTAGTCCCCAAGAAAACCTTAAACTCTATTTAGCAAACTTATTTTAGAGGTATGTGTAAAACATTTTTTAAAGTTTCATATATGGAAGCCTTAGCTGTCTGGAAAATTAGTGTAAATAGAATGCTTCATTTGCTCAGGTTTATGGTGCAGAAAAGAATCATTTAGGGAGCACGTTAAAATATAGGTGTCTGGACCAGGCAATGGTGGCTCACGCCTGTAATCCCAGCACTTTGGGAGGCCAAGGCAGGAGGATCACCTGAGGTCAGGAGTTCGAGACCAGCCTGGACAACACAGGGAGACCCCATCTTTACAAAAAATAAACAAAATTAGCTAGGTGGCACACTCCTGTGGTCCTAGCTACTTGGGAAGCTGAGGTAGGAGGATCGCTTGAGGATGGGGGTTGAGGCTTAGGTGAGGTGTGATGGTACCACCACACTCCAGCCTGGGCGATAGAGCAACCCTGTCTCAAAAAGAAAAAAAAAAAAAAAGTATGGATTTCTGGGTCCCACTCCAGACAACTTGAATCTGGGTGTAGGGCTTCGAATTTGTATTTTAGTAAGCCTTCCAAATGATTTTGAAGTAGGTAGTCCTAAAAACTAACCTTTGAGGAACATTGCCAGACTGACTGATAGAAAGAGAGAGAGTGAATAGGGGAAGAGGAGGGAAAATGCTTTAAAAGAGTGTATCTTGGTTGGGCGCAGTGGCTCCTGCTTGTAATCCTGGCACTTTGGGAGGCTGAGGCGGGTGGATCACTTGAGGCCAGGAGTTTGAGACCAGCCTGGCCAACATGGAGAAATCTCTACTAAAAATACAAAAAAAAAAAAAAAAAAAAGAAAGTAAAAAAAAGAGTGTATCTTGCAGCATATTTCTGAGGATTAAGCCATGTTTTAAAAATTTAGTGATTATTGGCCGGGCGCGGTGGCTCACGCCTGTAATCCCAGCACTTTGGGAGGCCGAGGCGGGCGGATCACGAGGTCAGGAGATCGAGACCATCCTGGGCAACAGGGTGAAACCCCGTCTCTACTAAAAATACAAAAAAAAAATTAGCCGGGCGTGGTGGCGGGCGCCTGTAGTCCCAGCTACTTGGGAGGCTGAGGCAGGAGAATGGCGTGAACCCGGGAGGCGGAGCTTGCAGTGAGCCGAGATCGCGCCACTGCACTCCAGCCTGGGGGACAGAGCGAGACTCCGTCTCAAAAAAAAAAAAAAAAAAAAAAAAAAAAAAAAAAAAAAAATTTAGTGATTATCGGCCAGGCCCAGTGGCTCACGCCTGTAATCCCAGCATTTTCGGAGGCTCAGGCAGGTGGATCACTTGAGGTCAGTAGTTCGAGACCAGGCTGGCCAACATGGCAAAACCCTGTCTCTACTAAAAATACAAGAATTAGCTGGGTGTGGTGGCGTGTGCCTGTAATCTGAGCTACTTGGGAGGTTGAGGCAGGAGAATTGCTTGAACCCAGGAAGCAGAGGTTGCAGTGAGCCGAGATCGCGCCACTGCCCTCCAGCCTGGGTGACAGAGTGATACTCTGTCTCAAAGGAAAAAAAAAATTGGTCATTCTCTTTTTCTGATTTAAAAGGATTTTGTTCCTCCATGGAAAACTTTAAAAATAGGAGCAAGCAAAAAAAATAAAAAAAATTTGTAATCTTACCACTCGGAGACAATGTTCATTTTAAGTTGGTGTATATTCTTCCAGACTTCTAAAAGGAATTGCAATTGCTCCTTTTGTAGCAGACACCATCAGGGACTTGCCTGGGGCCTCTCATCTAGCAAGTGGGAGAGTCCACACTGGAACCCAGCTGCTGAATCCTGAACTTCATTGTGCTCCATTGTATTTTTTATTTTTATTTTAAAAAATTAATTATTTATTTTTGAGACAAGGCTCTGTTTCCCAGGCTGTGTGGTGCAGTGGCATGATCACAGCTCATGGTAGCCTCCATCTCCCAGGCTCAAGCGATCCTCCCACCTTGGCCTCCCAAAGTGCTGGTATTACAGGTATGAGCCACCGCCCCCCATTGTGCTTTATCGTAACAGGAACAGAGGGGCTCACGCCCACTCCTAGCATTACTTTACACACATGTCTACTGTTAAAAGACAAAACTACAACAAATTTAGTTTAAAGATCTTAATTGGTTTTTATTTGCAATTATAGAATCAGCCAACACCTCATTCTAGAAAATAGAATGAGTAATGAGTGTTCTGATGAGCTGAGCAGGAGAGGTTGGCTTTATAGGTAGAAGAGGGCTGAAGAAAGCAAAAATGGGCCGGGCGCGATGGCTCAGACCTGTAATACCAGCACTCTGGGAGTCTAGGGCGGACAGATCACTTGAGTTCAGGAGTTCGAGACCAACCTGACCAACATGGTGAAACCCTGTCTCTACCAAAAATACAAAAATTAGCTGGGTGTGATGGTGCACACCTGTATTCCCAAGTACTCGGGAGGCTGAGGCAGGAGAATCACCTGAACCTGGGAGACAGAAGTTGCAGTGAGCTGAGATTGTGCCAGTGCACTCCAGGCTGGGTGATAGAGTGAGACCCTGTCTCAAAAAAAAAAAAAAAAAAAAAAAAAAAAAGGAAAGCAAAAACAGAGAACAAAATGGAGATTGGTTGTTTTCAAGTTACTTTCCTTAAAGAGTTAAAACAGAGGTGATTACTTTATTATGCTGACTCCGGTTGACTGGAATCTTCTGTTTTGTTTTGTTTTAAAAGAGAGATGGAGTCTTGCTTTTTGGCCAGGTTGGTCTGGAACTTCTGACCTCAAGCAAGTCCCCCACCTTGGCCTTCCAAAGTGCTGGGATTACAGAAGTGAACCACCATGCCCAGCTGGACCCTCCTATTTTGTTTTGTTTTTTAAGGAAAACTGGCCTGTTTTAGTTTCACTGTGTGGCACTTAGCACATGTGACTCCATTCTTGTTTGGCCTGGTCTGATGGGGCCCAGTGCAGGAGGCTGGTCCAAATGATGGCCTCCCATTAACTTTGCTTCACACCGCACATCACTTGTTAAATTAACTGCACAATTACAACAAAAAATAATGTGCCTACTACTGAACTATGGGCTTCTCAGTAGGGCAGGAACATCATCTTATTTATATCAGTATCCTTGGAACACAGCCTGGTGCTTAACTGTGGCTCAATACCTGGAACACAGTAAATACACAATAAATGATCCTTCTGGGCAGGGGGCAATGGAGTGAAAACAACTATTCTCCATTGCCTCTCACAGAACTGAATTGCAGCCATCCTAGACTTCAAAACTGATCTAGTTTTCTCCCCAAAAAACAGTTTGCAGCACTCCAATGTCCAAGAAATAGAATATCCTAAACGAATTAGGGCAGGAACAAAAAACCAAATACCACATATTCTCATTTGAAAGTGGAAGCTAAACATCAGATATTCATGGACATTAGGATGACAATGGTAGATGCGGGAGACTACTAGAGTCGGGGAGGAGAGAGGGGGCAAGGGTTGAAAAACTGTTGGGTACCTGGGTGACGGGATCATTCATACCCCATACCTCAGCATCACGCAGTATACCCAGGTAACAAACCTGCATATGTACCCGCTAAAACTAAAATCCAGATTGAAAAAGAAGGAAAAAAAAGAAGAAACAGAATATCTTCCTGAAAGCCTTATAGGGGAACATGCAGAAGAAAGCAAATCCTCTTAGCATCTTACCCCCTTACCTAAGCAACAGGGCCCCTGACATAAATGGGATGACCCGCCTCCAGGGTTGGATTGGAAAGCCAGCGCATCGTGCTGCAATAAAGGCTCACCAGGTTTAGAAACAAAAGCCTGGCTGTCTCCTTTTCTCTCTTAGCCTCACAAACAGCTACTACTTGGATTCTGAGTGTTTGAAACAAAAGCATACAGGAGGAATAAAGGTGGATTTAACTGACAGTCTTTTGGAATGTAAATACCAATCAAAATGAAGAAATATGTTTTTCAGCTTCAATACAATCTACTTTGGTTTATGAGAGTGAAAAGTCTGATGAAATACATAGTTATAAAAATGTGAAAACTCCTAAGGAAGTAAATCTGTACAGGAGAATTGGGGAGCTGAAATATTTCCCAGTACTGTTTTATAGTCTTCTTTTTCTTTGTTTTTCTTTCTTTTTCTCCCAGGAAACATTTTATTGGATGTGTTCATTTATGTATGCACGTATGTGTTCTTCCAAATGGTTGTTTTCCTGGAACCAACTTCATGTGTGGGTAGCACTGTGCTAGATACTAGCTGCATAATAAATGAATGTGAAAGTTGTTGACATATAGGACTGATTTTTACTATTCATTGACCCCTTCGAACATTTATTTGGCTGCTATGATTCTATGCTTAGAAAGATACATATATCTAAGCAAATACATACAATTTTGAGGAGTTCATGATCCCTAGAAAGCCTCCCAGGGGTCAACAAACCAGAACTGGCTGGGCGCAGTGGCTCATGCCTATAATGAGTACTCCTGAGGTGGGAGGATCACTGGAGCCTAGGAGTTCAAGACCAGCCTAGACAACATTGGGAGATTCCATTTCTACAAAAAGAAAATTATCTGGGTGTGGTGATGCTGGCCTGTAGTGCCAGTTACTTGGGAGGCTGAGGCTGGAGGACCTCCTGAGCCTGGAAGGTCGAGGCTGCAGTGAGCCATGATTATGTCACTGCACTCCAGCCAGGGAAACAGTGAGACTCTGTTTCAAAAAAGAAACCCCAAAACAAACAAAAACCCAACAGAATCCTGCTCTAAGAACCTATAGTTAAAAAAGCAGCAGTGTAGGCTGGGCACGGTGGCTCATGCCTGTAATCTCAGCACTTTGGGAGGCCGAGGTGGGCAGATCACTTGAGGCCAGGAGTTCAAGACCAGCCTGGCGAAACACTGTCTCTACTAAAAAATACAAAAATTAGCTGAGTGTGGTGATGCACGCCGGTAATCCTAGCTACTCTGGAGGCTGAGGCACAAGAATCAATTGAACTCAGGAGGTGGAGGTTGCAGTGAACTGAGATTGCGCCACTGCATTCCAGCACTCCAGCCTGGGTAATGAGAGACTCCGTCTTAAAACAAAACAAAACAAAACAAAACAAAACAAAACCAAGCCTGTAATCATGGCTGAGTAATAAAAAAGGTTTTGGCTGGGCGCGGTGGCTCATGCCTGTAATCCCAGCACTTTGGGAGGCTGAGGCAGCAGCAGATCACGTGGTCAGGAGTTTGAGACCAGCCTGACCAACATGGTGAAACCCCGTCTCTACTAAAAATACAAAAATTAGCTGGATGTGGTGGTGGGTGCCTGTAAGCCCAGCTGCTCAGGAGGCTGAGGCAGGAGAATTGCTTGAATCTGGGAGGCGGAGGCTGCAGTGAGCCAAGATTGTGCCACTGCACTCCAGCCTGGGTGACAGAGCGAGACTCCATCTCAAAAAAAAAAAAAAAAAAAAAAAAAAAAAGCTTTGACCAATGCAAGATCAGTGTGTGCTAGAGTGGCTAGAAGAAAGTCACAGAGTTCGGCCGGGCATGGTGGCTCATGCCCCTAATCCCAGCACTTTGGGAGGCCGAGATGGGTGGATCACAAGGTCAGGAGATCGAGACCATCCTGGCTAACACGGTGAAACCCCGTCTCTACTAAAAATACAAAAAAAAATTAGCTGGGCGGGGTGGTGGGTGCCTGTAGTCCCAGCTACTCAGGAGGCTGAGGCAGGAGAATGGCGTGAACCCGGGAGGTGGAGCTTGCAGTGAGCCGAGATCGCGCCACTGCGCTCCAGCCTGGGTGACAGAGCAAGACTCCGTCTCAAAAAGAAAAAAAAAAAGAAAGTCACAGAGTTGACCTTAAAGGCTGGGCAAGATTTGGAGTGCGCAGTAGACAGAAGGGAGCAGGGGTAGGGCCAGCAAAGGAGCAAGGAGGCAGACAGCATGGAATAGGTGAGGGGCCAGCTGGAAGGAGGTCATGTTCATGGCAAGTCTCGGTTCGGACTTCACCTGATAGATTGACCAGGGTTTCTCCACAGTGATACTGTTGACATTTGGAACTGGACAGTTCTTTGTTGTGAAGGCCAGTTCTGTGCATTGTAAGATGTCCAACAACACACTTGACCTCTGCCCACTAGATGCCAGTAGCATCTCCCAAGTCATGACAATCACAAATGTCTCCAGACATTGCCAAAGATCCCCTGGGGGACAAAGATCACCCTATTTGAGTATGACTGTCACAGCATATTTGAGCTTGGCAATGTTTTCCAAAGTTTAGTCATTCAGGTATCACCTTCACGAATTTTGCCAGATCTTGGTGCCTCCTTCTTGGCTATCTCCTGTATTTATTTATTTATTTAGGGACAGAGGCTGAGGCAGGAGAATCGCTTGAGCCCAGGAGGCAGAGGTTGCAGTGAGCCGAGATCAGGCCACTGCACTTTCAGCCTGGGTGACAGAATGAGACTCCATCTCCAAAAAAAAAAAAAAAAAAAAAAAGTAAGGATTTACTTCTCCTCAGATGTTGGCAAAAAAGGTGGAGGCCAAAGACAATTGGCCTCTTCCTCCTACAGAGAGGCCAACTCATTCCCTGTGCCATCATCATGTTAGTAGCTCTCGGGGCAGATTGCAAGACCCCTCCTCTTTCAGGATTGAATTCCCCCTTGGCATGTGTCACATCTTCATTTGCCTTTCTTTTCTGATGAGAGGGTCATCACCACTTCCTGATCTCCTTTCTTGGCAACAGAAGGGTGATGTGAGATTTAATTTCTCAAAAAAACTAAAAAAGATGCCAAGATCCCCAGGATCCGTCCCACGTGGGCCAAGATCTTCTTTGGGTGCAGAGGGTCAGTGCAGACAAAGGCACTTGGATCGCTTGCGATGGTTCCTCTCTCTCTAATTATAGAAAGTATTTAGCTATTATTCCCTAATTGCTCACTGCAGTTGGGTTTGAGCATTTTTTTTTTTTTCTGACAAAAGGCTGGTTTCTGATGAGTTGTTCTTTTCTTTCCGCCTTGGTTCACTGCCATACCAGTGCCTGGCTCTTCCACTGGAAAACTGCAGGAGGTGGTATGGTATTTCTGGGGAAGCCACTTTACCTCATCCAATTGCTTTCATGGCTTCCCAGTTGCCTAATAGGAAGGGAATTAACATTTACTGGGCATCTATTTAGTATGTGCCAGGCACTGTGCTAAGTGCTCACGTAGGTTGTCTTATTCAATCCTTGCAGCAAACTTCAGAGGCAGATATAATTATTCCGAATTTATAGATGAAGAATCTAAGGTGAAGGTAGTCTCAGTCAGTATGTGGCTGAGTCAGAATTCAAACCCAGGTCTTTGTGTGTGAGTCCTTTTTTTTTTTTTTTTTGAGACATGGTCTCACTCTGTCACTCAGGCTGGAGTGCCGCGGTGCAATCTTGGCTCACTGCAGCTTCAACCTCCTGGGCTCAAACAATTCTCCTGCCTCAGCCTCCCAAGTAGCTGGGACTACAGGTGTGTGCCACCACACATGGTTAATCTTGTTTTATTTTTTAATGAGATGGGCTCTCACCATGTTGCCCAGGCTGGTCTTGAACTTCTGGGCTCAAGCAATTCTCCTGCTGGAGTCAGTCTGGGCACAGTGGCTGAGGCTTGTAATCCCTTCCCAAAATGCTGGGATTGTGAGCTACTGTGCCCAGACTGACTCCATGTTTTCCTCTCTCAAAAGTTTTTCTAGACTTCTGGCTGATAAAACATTGGTGTTGGAGACTCCCGCTCTCTTGCCCTAAAAGTGCTTATTTCTAGGTCCTCTGCTAGTGGTAGGGCTTGGTGGGGATGCCTATAGGACGCTTAAAGGAGCTCTAGGTTTCCTGTTTTGGCTCATGACACATGAAGGAATTTCCAGTGTCATGGTAGCAAGGACGAGGAGGAAAGCCATCGCTCCTGGGGCTGTAGCAGTAAGGATCCTATGGGAAACAGATGGCACATTCAGGGGTTTACATGCAGAACAGAATATTCAATGAATGGACTACTTAGCAGAGTTATGGGCAGTTAAAGGAACCAACAAGCAATGGGGAAGCTACCGGGTACTGGCAGCAGCAGGAAGCCATCACCACCCCTAGGTTTAAAGGGACATGGTGTGAGAATGGTGTTCCTGAAGCCCATTGACAGCTGGGGGTATGGCAGAAGCATCCAGACAGGAGCTGTGACAGGAGGGAAACCCAGCCACTGCCCGAACACCAGCAGGAAGGGCAGCAGCAGCTGGTGTGTGAGTGTGTATATATACAGACATCCAGGTCTCTCCCTCCTCTGCCTTCCCATCTGCTCATGCTACCACTGGCCAAACCCAGCTAGAAGACAGAGAGTAGGGGAGCCTAGAGATGCAGCTCTTGCAGGTCAGCCTCCTGAGGCACAGGGCAGGAAGGAAGGGTGGAGAGAGCACCTGGGAAGATACAGAGAGTGTTCAGCACAGGGGCTGACTCACCTGTGCCATCCACAGCAGTGTCTTTTTTTTTTTTGAGATAGAGTCTCTCTCTGTTGCCCAAGCTGGAGTGCGGTGATGCAATCTCAGCTCACTGAAATCTTTGCCTCCCGGGTTCAAGCGATTCTTCTCCCTCAGCCTCCCGAATAGCTGGGACTACATAAGTGCACCACCACACCCAGCTAATTTTTGTATTTTTAGTAGAGACGGGGTTTTGCTATGTTGCCCAGGCTGGTCTCAAACTCCTGGCCTCAAGTGATCCACCCTCCTTGGCCTCCCAAAGTGCTAAGATTACAAATGTGAGTCACCACACCTGGCCCAGTGTCATTTTTTTGGTGAGTGGAGACATACTCTATAGGAAGTGGGACATTGTTTACAGGCTCAAAGAATCATGGAATGTGAGAGTGGGAAGTGCCCTTAGAGCTCTACCTGTAAAATTCCTTTACTTTATAAAGAGGATCCTGAGGCCCAGGAAGGGGAAAGGACTGGTCCAAGGTCAGTTGCTAATTCGTGGCATGGGCAGGACTGGAAGCCAGCTTGCCTAACTTCCAGTCCATACTGCTTCTTAGTTTTGAGCTGTAGTCAATTAATGGTTGGTAATAAAGGATTACTACTGAGCCACTTGACCTATTTCCTGTTAAGACCTCAGGGTATAGTTTACTTTGGCCCCAGACATTTGCCTCAAATGATTCTTTCTCTAAATATATCTATGATCAGAGTAGGCTGCCCATTTCAGAGTGTGGGCTCTGGAGTCAGGCTCATGGGGCTGAATCCCAGCCCTATCCTTACAGAATGGTCTTGGACAAGTTATTTAACCCTCCACCTTATTTTGCTCAACTGTAAAATGAGGATAATAATGATGTCTATCTCATATCTCATGAGGATTATATAAGAAGATATATTTAAAGCACTTAGACTAGCATCTGCCAATAATGAGTGCATGATAAATAACAGTATACATGTGGGGTGTGTGTGTATATATATATATGATGTAAACAAATATGTGTGTGTGTGTATGTATATGCATGTATGTGTATATATATGCATGTATGTGTGTGTGTGTGTGTGTATATATATATATATTCTACCCCCCAAATTAGTTTAGAATTCTGGTTAAGAATTCACATGGTTTGGCTGGGTGTGGTGGCTCATGTCTGTAATCCCAGCACTTTGGGAGGCTAAGGTGAGCAGATCACTTGAGGTCAGGAGTTTGAGACTAGCCTGGCCAACATGGTGAAATCCTGTCTCCACTAAAAGTACAAAAATTAGCCAGGTGTGATGGTATGTGCCTGTAGTCCCAGCTACTTGGGAGGCTGAGGCAGGAGAAACGCTTGAACCTGGGAAGTGGAGGTTGCAGTGAGCCGACATTGCACACTGCACTCCAGCCTGGATGACAAAGCGCGACTCCATCTCAAAAAAAAAAAAAAAAAGAATTCATGTGGTTGGCTGGGCAAGGTGGCTTATGCCTGTAATCCCAGCACTTAGGGAGGCCAAGGCAGGTGGATTGCTTGAGCTCGGGAGTTTGAGACCCACCTGGGAAACTTGATGAAATACCATCTCTATCAAAAATACAAAAAAAAAAAAATTAGCTGGGCATTGTGGTGTGTGTATGTGGTCCTAGCTACTTGGGAGGCTGAGGTGGGAGGATCTCTTGAGCCCGGGAGGTGGAGGTTGCAGTGAACCAAGATTGTGCCATTGCACTACTCCAGCCTGGGCGACAGAGACCACATCTAAAAAAAAAAAAAAAAAAAAGAATTCACGTGGCTGTGATTGAGGTCAGGCATGGTGGTGTGTGCCTATAGTCCCAGCTACTTGGGAGGCTGAGGCAGGAGAAACGCTTGAACCTGGGAGGTGGAGGTTGCAGTGAGCCGACATCACACACTGCACTCCAGCCTGGATGACAAAGCGAGACTCCATCTCATGCCTGCACTTTGGGAGGCTGAGTAGGGAGGATGGCTTGAGCACAGGGGTTCGAGATCAGTCTAGGCAACATAGGGAGACACTGTCTTTGCAAAAAAATACAAAAATTATCTGGGCATGATGCACCACGCCTGTAGTCCCAGCTACTTGGGAGGCTGAGGTGGGAGGATTACTTGAGCCTGGGAGGTCAAGGCTGTAGTGAGTGCGGCATGATTGCGCCACTGCATTCTAGCCTGGGCAATACAACAAGACCCTGTCTCAAAAAACCAACCAACCAACCATACTTTTTACCCTTATTGAAATATATCAGTTGTTCTTTTAAACATTTTTTTCTTTTAATTTTTTTTTTAGTAGAGACAAGGTCTCACCTATGTTGCCCAGGCTGGTCTCAAACTCCTAAGCTCAAGCTAACCTTCTACCTCTGCCTCCCAAAGTGCTGGGATTACAGGCATGAGCCATGGCTCCTGGCCTTATCAGCTGTTTTTCACATGGAATTTTTCCTTTCCCTATAACAGATAAGAACTCTGAAGGGCTTAGGTGATGTGCCTTTTCTGGGATTCCTCAGCAGTCAGAGGCAGATAAATCCTTGTTCTCA